>NW_025791818.1:464787-619716 GCF_000001405.40 Homo sapiens
CTTGTAGTTCGGAGGAGGGAAAGCAGAGCCCTGGGCTCATCCATCCTCACTGCAGCCCCACCAGGAGATCCCATCAAGGCGGTCTTAGATTTCTAGGCTGAGGCAAGAAGGGGTTGGGCGATGAGCCCAGAGCCACACAGCCCAGCCCTGTTGTGGCCAGAGAGGGAAAGGGACTGACTTTGTCCTGCAAGTATGGAGACTGCTTTCTTCTTTCTGTTGTTTTCAGTGCAAGCTATCAGCTACCAAATGGCTGCCGTTTTGTTTTGTTTTGTTTTGTCCTTAGAGAAGCGCCCAGGGATCAGCTATCGGGAACAAGAAGGTATCACTGTTTTTTGGGGTATTTTTTAGATTGTCCAGTTTTGGTCATAGGTGGTTTGATTTCCTTTCACTGAATACAAAGCATGGATCTTGTCATCAAACCCAACCAAAGTCAATCTCAGTGTCATTCGCTATCTCTCTTCCCTCCTTACTGATCCCAGGAGAGAAGGTTAGGGTTGCACTAGTGATGGAACACCAGGATGATATAAAGCTTCCAACTTGGCTCAAGAAGAGTTCCAAACAAACAAGTATATCTGCCATTGCAGTGGCTCATGATATGTAAGTCTGGACTCTGTAGCTTCCAGTCCTCACTACCCTGGTCTTCCCCACCGTTCCTCTCTTTCCACAGGCCAAGAGATGCACAGTGATCGGTGGCTCTGGATTCCTGGGGCAGCACATGGTGGAGCAGTTGCTGGCAAGAGGATATGCTGTCAATGTATTTGATATCCAGCAAGGGTTTGATAATCCCCAGGTGCGGTTCTTTCTGGGTGACCTCTGCAGCCGACAGGTAATGGACCATGCAGCCTTGCTGATTTCCCACGAGCCCACGAAGGGAAACCACGATACTTCCCTTGCTCAGAAGCCAGCCAATTTGTTTGAAAAACAATTGTTTCATTGTGAAAATTTTCAAAGTTATAGGAAAGAACACCACATTCTTACTGCTTAGAATGAATAACCATCATCTCTGTCACAGATACTCAGCTGTGTCCTGGTAGCACAAAAGCAGCCATGGTCAGCACTTAAATGAACAAATGGCTGTGGCTGTATGCCAGTGAAACTTGACTTCAAAAGCCGTCCATGGGCTGTATTGTTCCAACTGCAAAACAAGTGTGTGCTGGGCCACAGGGTCTTGATTTTTTAATTGAGATATAATTCATGTACCACAAATTTCACATTTTTAAAGTGTGCAATTCAGTGATTTTCAGTACATCCACAAAGCTGTGCAACTGTCTCCCATGATCTAACTCCAGAATATTTGTATTACCCCAAAATGAAATCTTGTAGCCATCCCCTCTCTTCCCCTCCCAGCCCCTGGCCGCCACTCATCTACTTCCCATCTATGGATTGGCCTCTTCTGGACATTTCATATAAATGGAATCATGTAATATTTGTACCTCTGTGCCTGACTTTTTTCACTTAGCATGATGTTTTCAAGCTTCATCCATGTTGTACAGGTATGAATATCTTGAATTTTATTAGATGGTGCCAAATGGCTCAGCAAAGCTGCTATGTCAATTTTACCTCCATATCCACAATGTGGCACAAGCCCCATTGCTTCACATCTTTGCCAACACTGGGCATAACTAGACTTTTTGGTGTTGCCATTCTGAGAAGTATGAAGTGGTGCTTCACTGATGTTCAGAGTCACATGTCCTCCCTGACCAAGTAACCAGCCACTCTGCCACTGGGTGATCGGCTTTCAGGCTTCCTCCTGTGTGAAATGTTTGTCTGTGTCCTTTGCCCCTTTGTCTTTGGGGTTACCTTTGCTTCCTTGTTGATCTAGTTGGGATGCCAATCCTGTGCCCGTTGTACTTATTATGGATGGCTTCCCTCAGCCTGTCACTGGGCCCTTATTCTTGGCTTTGGTGTCATTCGCTATATGGTTTGTTGATGAAATATTAAGGCCATTGCTTCCGCTGCAAAGTTACGGTTGTTTTCTCTCCCGTGCTGCCCACACCTCCAGGCCTGGAGATGGGGTAGACATCTTTCATGCTCATCATTGCTGCCTCCGAACCGTTCTCCCTCATGCTGCTCTAAGCCTCTCCAGCTTTGAAGAGGATACCCTCAGACTGTACAAACCCCGACACCGTTCCCTCCTTGTGGTGGCCACCCACAGCCGCCTGCTCCCCTTCCCAGTGACTCCACATCATTTCTCAGTGATTTCAGCTCCTTTCTGGCATTATTATTGGTGAATTCAGCGTTCATGTAGATGACCCTACCAATGCCCTCGCCTCTCTCATCCTTGGCCTCCTCTCACCCAATGATGTTGCCCTCCACTCCCCTGTCATCACCAGTAAGCACGTCCTCTCCTTCTTCTCAGTTGCAGGCATTCTACTCTGAGCACTAGCTCCTCTCTGTCCAGCTCATGCCCTCTAGTGCCTCAGCTGTCCCGATTCCTTAACCCCACCCAGACATCCAGCCATGCCCACCATGGCTCAGCCTGTTCGTGCCTCACTGCCTTTAGTTCCCTGGTCTGCTTGTTCGCTTGCATAGTCTTCACCCCTTCCCCTTTCTCTTCTGGTTGTATGTATCCATAAAGTTTCTCCAGAGAAACACCAGCAGGGGGATGTGTGGAGAAGGGCAAGGAGAGAGATGGGTGGGTGAGACGGAGAAAGAGAGGTTGAGATTTAATTCACAGAATTGGTTTACATGATTGTGGGGGCTGACTAGGCAAGTCTGAAATTTGTAGGGCAGACCAGAAACTCAGGCAGGAATTGATGCTGTGGTCCCACGTTAGAATTTCTTCTTACAGAAACCTCAGTTTCACTTTTAAGGTCTTTGAACTGAGTATATACTGCCTGTCCAGAGTAGCAAGGGTAATCTCCTTACTTAAAGTCAGCTGGTTGTAGATGTCAACCACAGCTACAAAATACCTCTACAGCAACACCTACACTGTTTAATGGAGTCACCGGGGACTAGAGCCTGGCCCAGGTGGCAAATAAATGTGGCCACCACAGTGTACTTCACATTGTAACCCCCACCCTGGTTAAATCTTGCCTTGTGCATGGCCATGGCCCTCAAGCAGACCCTTGGTACCACCAAGCACCATCTCCACAAACCTGCCCACATCCACGTCTCTACTCAGCCTCCCCTGCTGTTCCCGAGGACGCCTCATCCCCACCAAAGTGCCCATCCTGGTGCCAGCTGGAAGCCACCTCCTCTTCCCTACCCAGTCACTGCCACCAGGGACCTTGAGGCAACCATATCTGGTGGTTGAATCTCAGTCCTCCTCTGACTTGGCCCTGTAGCAGCATCTGATGCTTTCTTTGCTTGCCTTCTGAGATACCACCTCACTCATTTCTCCTCCTGCCTCACTGATTGTCTCCTGATCACTATCATTTCTAAACTTTGCAGACTCCAGAACTTATTCTCTTTTCTTCTCCAAGTTTAGACAGTGTCACAGTGACTCCATCCCATCTCATGGATTAATTACTGTCTAGAAGCTGATGTGCTCCCTGCTTGTTATCTCCAACCCCTAGCTCTCTCAGGCACGTGTGTGTGTGTGTGTGTGTGTGTGAGCGTATGTGTGTGTATGCCTGCTGGACATCCCTGTTTGGATACCTCATGGACACTTCAAGCTTGCTACATCCAAAATTAAGCTCCTGGTTCCCTGACGCAAGCCCCTCCCCCACCACAGCAAACCTATTTCTGCTAAGTCTTCTCTATCTCCATAAATGGCCTACTCTGCTTTTCCAGTTCCATCAACCAAAAACCTTAGATTCATCCCTGCCCGATTCCTTTCTCTCTCATGCCCTTCATCCCATCCATCAGGAAATCTTGTTGGCTCCACTCAGAATAGATCCCCAATCCAACAACTTCTCACCCCTTCCATTGCTGCCACCCTGGTCCAAGCCACCATCACTGTCTCACCTAGATGTTAGAGGGACTCTTAATGGATAAATCAGATCACACCGCCCTCTGTACAGAAGCCTCCAGTGGCGTCCAGTCCCATGTCAAGCAAACAGAGGCCTCTGTAATCACCCATGAGGCCCTGCACGGCACGTCCCCACTACCTGTCTGGCCCACTTCCTCCCACACCCGCCTCATGGCTCTGCCCCAGGCACACTGGCCACCAACCAAGTTTCTGCCTCAGGACCTTTGCACTTGGTGTCCTTTCTGTCAGGAATGCTCTTCCTGAACCACAGAACTTGCTCCCTAGCTTCCTGTAAATCTCCAGCCACCCTGTGCTAAGGAACAGGCCCCCGCTGGTCTCCCTTACTCTGCTCTAGTTTCTGCATAACACCTGCCAGTACGGACGTCCTCTAGATTTACTTGTTTGTTTGCTTATTTGTCCTGATTGAAACATGATTGACCATGAGCGGATACAGAGCAGAGGAAATCTCTGAAATTTGTCCTCTCTACCATAGAATGTAAACTCCACAAAAGCAGGAATTTTGTTTTTCGATCACTGCTTTGTCCCCTCAAAGGAGACGAGAATCCTTAGCAAGCTTTCACTTCTCTCCAAAAGGCTCCCCCGCTGCCATGCTGTTGTTGCTAGTATGTTATTTCAGCTTTCCTTGAGTACAGATTTCAAGGGAACCCTCCAGCATGCCATGTTGTTCTCCAGCCACACTCAACTGCTCAGCCGCAAGCGTGGAGAAGGGGCGAGTTGCATTTAACCAGGGTTGGAGTTTACTAGACAAATTTAATAAAGGGAGAGGGGAACAAGGCAAAGGTGGTGCTGGTGGATCATGAAATCTAAGCTAAGTCCAAGGTCGATGTGATGTGGGTGAAAGACATGGCAGGAGAGGACCTTTTTTATTTTATTTTATTTTATTTTATTTTTATTTTTATTTTTTTAGACATAGTCTTGCTCTGTTGCCCAGACTGTGGCACAATCTAAGCTCACTGCAGCCTCCGCCTCCCAGGTTCAAGCGATGCTCCTGCCTCAGCCTCCCTAATAGCTGGGATTATAGGTGCCCACCGCCACACCCGGCTAATTTTTGTATTTTTAGTAGAGATAGGGTTTCACCATGTTGGCCAGGCTGGTCTTGAACTCCTTGTATCAGGTGATCCGCCCGCCTCTGCCTCCCAAAGTGCTGGGATTACAGGTGTGAGCCACTGCGCCCAGCCGAGAAGGACTTTTAAAATGTACTTTCACCTGGGTGTGGTGGTATGCACTTGTAGTCCCCCAGCTATTTGGAAGGCCAAGGTGGGAGGATCACTTGAGGCCAGGAGTTCAAGACTAACCTGGACTACATAACAAGACCCCCCCCATTTCTTTTTTTTTAAAAATGTGTTTTTATAGTCAGTAGAGAGAGAGAGAGAGAGAGGAGAGAGACAGATATACATACATATAGATAAAGTTTATGTATATATAGTTATATAGTTTTATACACACAATATGTATTACATAACACTTTTTTTTTTTTTTTTGAGACGGAGTCTTGCGCTGTCGCCCAGGCTGTAGTGCAGTGGCGTGATCTTGACTCACTGCAAACTCTACCTCCTGGGTTCAAGCAATTCTCCTGCCTCAGCCTCCCGAGTAGCTGGGATTACAGGCGCCCACCACCACCCATGACTAATTTTTATATTCTTAGTAGAGACAGGGTTTCACCATGTTGGCCAGGCTAGTCTTGAACTCCTGACCTCAAGTGATCCACCCGCCTCGGCCTCCCAAAGTGCTCGGATTACAGGCATGAGCCACCGTTGCCACCGCGCCCGGCCCATGACACTTTTAAAGTCACCTCGGTCTTGTGCATCTTTTGTTGCTGACAGGAAGTCTACTCTCAAGCCGGTCGTTGTTCGTTTGTAGGTTGTCTGGCTTTCCCTCTTATGGTTTTTAGGATTTTATTTTTTATCATTTATAGTCTATAGAGAATATATCTGGGCCTGAGTTTTAGTTTTGATTTTAAATCTTAACACCTGGTAGGCCTGTGCAATCTGAAGATGAATGTCTTTCCTCATTTCTGGAAAATTCTTCAAAGATTAACTCTACCCCTTTTCTCTCTTTTCTCTCTTTCTAGAAGCCGTGCTGGACATATGGTGGTCTTTCATTGTATCATCTGTCTCTTATCCTCTCTTTCTTGCATTCCTTCTCTTTCTCTTTTTGTACTATTTCATAGGAGATTTCCTCCTCCCTGCCTCTGCTCATGGCCAATCGTGTTTCACCTATATTCCTCCTCAGATTATGTTGAAGTCAATCCTAGACATCATATCATTTTATCTGCAAATATTTCAGTATTTGTCTCTAAAAGATAAGGATTATTTTTAAAAACATTGACAGTAGTTCCTTAGTATCTAGCCAGCGTTCAGATATCCCTGAATGTCTTATAAATGTTTTTGTATTATTGTTTTTCCAAATAAGGAACCAAGCAAGATCAAGACTATGGATTTGGTTGAAATATTTAGCTCTCTTTTAATTTACGATTCCCTTCATTTTTTTAAACTTCAGTCTATTTATTGAATAACTGATGTTTAGTAGAAACCATGTTTATGGTGCTGTAGTATTTCCCACAGTCTGGGTTTTGCCGATTACATCCCCATTGCGTTTAACATGCCCTTCTGTCCTCCAGTATTTTCTGTATACTGGTAGATCTGGGATGGCGCTGTCCATTAAGGCAGCCATTAGCCACGTGCAACTATTGGGCACTTAAAATGTGGCAAGTCAGAATTGAGAAGCACTGTAAGTGTGAAGTCCACACCAGATTTCAAAAACTACCTACAGAAAAAAGGAATGTAACTGTCTCATTAAAGTTAATTTCACCTTTTTCTTTTTACTTTTTAATGTCATTACTATAAACTTTAAAGTCACTGTGACTTTTATTATGTTTCTACTGGACTAAAGACTTGATCGGACTCTGGTTCAGTTTTTCCCTCTGGGGTATTATTACTTCTGATACTCCAATAGTAATAAGCATGCCTAGTGCTCAGATTTGGGTTTCTATATACCATTTCCCATAAAAAGAACTAGGGCTTCTTGGGAAAATTGCTCATTCTAGGACCCTAGGGCAAGGGCAGTACAAAATGAGTCTGGGACATTTTCTTAGCACAAAATGAATGGGGACCTGCCAAGAAGATACAAGAGCCAACTTGAAGGGCTTCCCCTGGCCAAATTTGGGACATTTTGAGCATTTTGAGCCTCTCAAAACATAACAGTAGTGGATGACAATGCATTTTGATTTCAAAAAGAATCCGTGGGCTGGGTGCAGGGCTAGCGCCTGCAATGCCAGCACTTTGGGAGGCCAAGACAGGTGGATCACCTGAGGTCAGAAGTTCGAGACCAGCCTTGCCAACATGGTGAAACCCCATCTCTACTAAAATACAAAAAAATTAGCCGGGCATGGTGGCATACGCCTGTAATCCCAGCTACTCGGGAGAATCGCTTGAGCCCGGGAGGCAGAGGTTGCAGTGAGCTGAGATCATGCCACTGCACTCCAGCCTTGCCGACAGAGCGAGACAATGTCTCAAAAAAATAAAATAAAAAAGAATCCATGGGTCCATAGAAATACTGAAAATAACAATTGGGGTCAGGGAGAAGGGGAAGCTCTACAGAGGAATGCCAACTAATAAATGTAAAGGCCATGAATTAAAAGGCTAGACTTAGAATGTCACCATTTTATACCCAGTACATTGATTATTGTTCCAGGCAAGGACTATCAATAAATGCTGAGGTTAATTGGTAGAATTAACATGCTACAGATTACTTATCAATTGCAAAGGAAAAGGTACCTTTTTGATGGCCGGAATCTGGCAGCCATCATCATCACCACGTGCTCCAACTTAATATCACCAAAAGTGGGACAGACTTGCACCTCCTGAGGTAATTCCCTGAGAAGGACACACCACCACTGATGTGGTATTCTTGCCAAAACCATTAAGCCTGAATCTAATCTTGAGGAAACAGACTAATCCAAACTGAAGGACAGTCTATAAAATAACCCAAACCCTTGAAAAATGGCAGCATTAAAATAAGACAGAAAAGACGGGAATTTGTCTCAGATTAAAAGAGATGGAAGAGACCTGAGGACTAAATACTACATGTCATGCGCAATTGGATCCTGGACCCCAAAACAAAAGGCTATAAAAGACATTACTGGGACAATTGGGGGAATTTGAATATAGACTAATTATTGGATAAGAACATCATATCTGTTAAGTTTCTTGAGTGTGATCATTGTTTTATGGTTATTTAGGAGAATGCTTTTGTTCTTAGGAGATACCTGTGAAGCGTTTAGAGGCAGCATGATGTCTGCAACTTACTTGACTGGTTTCAAAAAAAAAATCATGTGATTGTATGTAGAGAGAGGAAATTGTGGCAAAATATTAATTGGCACATAATTGTCATAATTGTCTTTTGGTGACAAACATGAATCATACTTAGATCATATTACTTAATTAAGGTTTGACAAAATGATGACATGCTATTAGTCTTCATTTAGTAGCTCCAGTCTTTATACCTTAATGCAGAATAAATATTTGATTCTTTCCCTTTATTTACCTGAATTTTTATTCTTGCTTGTGGTCAAGCTGTCCCTTCTTTGCCCAGTGGGAACCTCTTCAGGTTGGCCCTTGAGTGCTTTTAACGTGACCCCGGTAGTCTTAGCTAGCTAGCATCCTCACTCTCTGGTACAAGGTGTGCCTGGTTCCTCTTGTGTGTTTCCTGTCCCAGATCTGCAATCAGCCATTTCTCTCAGGAGCTCTTGTTCCTTTTAGCAGTAAATCAAACAGACCTGTTTTAAAAATCCCTTTCAGGTTGCTGTATTGTGTCAAGTTTCACAGGAAGGAATATGCCTGTGTATTGGCTATTTACTGTCTTTAATGGTGTGGAACTTTTTCATGTGATTCATAATTTCTATCTGAGTTCACCTTCCTGGGGAGTTTTACCTCCTAGGTGCCTGCTCTGAACCACCCAAAAGGATGTTGCCTCTGTGTGGATCCCACAGGCTTCTCATGCCCCAAACCCCTTTTGACTGGGGACTAGTTAGTGGGGAGAAGGTGATTAAAGGGACAACTTGGTTTCCATCCCATGTACTTCGGTATCATTGATTCTTTTATGAGAATGTATTTCCATATTGATTATAGAATTATAAGACAAGGAACCTACAAGCCACAGGTTGGAGGGTGAAAACATGAGAATGCCATTGACCTGTCAAAGCAGGAATGATTATTTTGTCTTTCTTTGCTTTTCCAGGATCTGTACCCAGCTCTGAAAGGTGTAAACACAGTTTTCCACTGTGCGTCACCCCCACCATCCAGTAACAACAAGGAGCTCTTTTATAGAGTGAATTACATTGGCACCAAGAATGTCATTGAAACTTGCAAAGAGGCTGGGGTTCAGGTAAGGGGAAGGCTGGAGTGAGTGCTGTCAGGAGCACGTGATGGCCCTTTCTAAGGGTGCAAGGCCGTAGTTCTTGCAGTCTCCCTGGGCCTAGGCGGGGTTGCTTCTTAAAGTGTTGGGAAGATCTTAGAAATGAAGCCCTTGGAGTCACTGGAGATGGTGAAGGTCTGCTTGCCAAGGCTGATTTGAGATGTAATATTCTAACTGCACACAAATAGAACATCTGAGGACCTCAAGCCTATTGGCCTTCAGTTAAAGAGCTGCAGAACTTAGACATTGCTTATATTTTTATTGTGATAAAATATATATCACATACAATTTACCATCCTAACCATTTTTAAGTG
The DNA here is from genome assembly GCF_000001405.40 of Homo sapiens. Classification (NCBI taxonomy): domain Eukaryota; kingdom Metazoa; phylum Chordata; class Mammalia; order Primates; family Hominidae; genus Homo; species Homo sapiens. The sequence goes on from NW_025791818.1 coordinate 474,451, forward strand.
CGGAGTTCAGTGGCATTAAGTACACTCACAATGTTGTATAGCCATTACCACCATCCATCTCTAAACCTTTTTCTTCTTCCCTAATAAAAACTCTATACCCATTAAACAGCAACTCCTCAATCGCCCTTCCCTACCCAGCCCCTGGCAACTACCCTTCTACTTTCTGTCTCTATGGGTTTGACAACTATAGGGACCTCACAGAAGTGGACTCATGTAGTATTTCTCCTTTTGTGTCTGGCTTTTCACCGAGCATGATGTCCTCAGGGGTCATCCATGTTGTAGCATGTGTCGGAATGTCCTTCCTTTTTCAGGCAGAACAATATTTCATTGTATGGATGGGCCACATTTTGTTTATTCATTCAGCCATGGATGGACATCTGTGTTGTCTTCACCTTTTGGCAATTGTAAACAATAGTGTTATGAACACAAGTGTACAAATATCTGTTCAAGTCCCTGTTTTCAATTCTTTCAGGCATCTACCCAGAAGTAGGGTTGCTAGATCATATACTAGTTCTACGTTTAACCTTTTGAGGAGCCACCACATTGTTTTCCAGACCTTGCTTATATTTTAAAAGAAAAGCAAACTGTGTTTACCCTTAGCCAATAGAAACGTGTTATAACTCAGGCCTGAGGGGATACGAATTTTCTGCCCATCATAGCTTGCTGCATCGTTACCAATCCTGGTTCTTAGAATTGTCTTTAGAGGACTCCAGCCACTGGCTAAAACGGCTCCCTGTCAGCTCAGTATCCTGACCCTCACAGGGATGCATGCCACAGGTACTGCATAAATTAAGAGAAAAACTTGAAGCAAGCCAGGGGGTTCCTCTCCCAACAACCTGTCCTGGCACTGTTGGCTGGTCCGCAGCATCCTCAGCCGGCCCAGCAGGGTTGGAGCTCTTCTGGGCTTGGGCCCTGGAAAAGATCACTTATAACTGACCCCTAGCAGTTGACAAGATGCTTTGCCCTGCTGAAGTTTTCACCTAATTAGCTCCTCGTTGGGTGACCAGGGGCTAAACGATGTCTCTTTGCTAGTAAATGGGAGAGGTGGGGTCAAAGCAGATTCTCCAAGTCCCAGACTCTGCACTCAGCCATGCTGATGTAACTGGAGCCCTGGGAAGGGCCCTGCTGCTCTTTGTTAAATGGAAGGTTGGGGGCATACAACAAAGATTTGTGCCCCAGGTGTGGCGGCTCACACATGTAATCCCAGCGCTTTGGGAGGCCAAGGCAGGAAGATCCCTTGAGCCAAGGAGTTCAAGACCAGCCTGAGCAACATAGCAATACCCCACCTCTACACGAATTTTTAAAAGCCAGGTGTGGTGGTATGCACCTGTAGCCTCAACTGTTTCGGGACGCTGAGGCAGGAGGATCGCTTGAGCCCAGGATTTTCAGGCTGCAGTGAGCTGTGATCCCAACACTACACCCCAGCCTAGGCAACAGAGCAAGACCTTGTCTCTTAAAAAAAAAATTAAAAAAACAACAAGATTTGAGAATAAAACAGCACCTCTCCACTCACCACAGCATTTAAGAAACAACATTACTGGCATGTGTAATGTGTGCCCATCCTCGATGCCATTGCTCTCTTCTTGTAGCCATGGATAGCAATTCTGAATTTGGGTTTATTTCCATTTGCTCCATGTGTAAGCAATATAAAGTATTGGATTGCATGTTATAAGATTTTATACAATGATATCTTATTGAACAGATCCTCCTGCAACTTGCTTTTTTCCCCAGTGTTATGTTTTTCTTTATTCATCTTGGCATATGTAACTCTGGTTTATTTACTGAAGGGGCAGAGTGGCTTAGTGGGTAAGAGTGCAGAAAGTGATTGCTGTGTTGTATTGAAGGAACATTTTCCAACACTGAGATCAAAAGATTATTTAATGTACTTTTTTTCCTCAAAGGTTTTAAGTGTTGCTTTCCACATTTCAGTCTTTAATCCACCAGGAATTTATGTTTGCTTATGGTGTGAGATAGAGATCTAACTTTCTTCCATGTGTATAACCAGTTCAGTGCCATTTATTGCATAATCCATCCTTTCTGCATCGCTGCACACCATCTGCAGCATGTCTTAGGTGTTTGTGTCTTACATGGGCCTGTTCCCAGGCTCTCCCCTCTGCCCCATTGACCTCCCTGTCTGCCCATGCAGAGAAGCTCTGCCTTTTTAGGATAAGTCTCAGTGTACCGTAGATAAATCACGCCCCCAACCAATTTCTTCAAACTTCACTTGGCTATTCTGAGCCCTTTGTTCTTCTACATATGTTTGGCTTAACCAGTTCCTTGCTAAAGCCAGCTGAGACTGCTGTTGTAATTGTGTTGAACTTGTAGGTAATTTTGGAGAGAATTGACATCTTTCCCATATTGAGTGTTCCTGTCCATAAATATGGGATATGTTTCTGTTTATCTCGCTCTTTAATGTCATCAATAGAGTTTTATACTTTACTTCGTAAAGATTTTGCATATCTCGTTAAATTTATTTGTATGTACTTCGTTTTTTGTTATTTAATAACTTTCTATTACATTTTCAGTTATTGCTAATATATAAGACGAGTTAATTTTTGTATATTGATTTTTAATTCAGCAACTTTGCCAAACGCTAATATTTTCTACATATTTGCCTGTGTTTTCTGTGTAGATTTTTCTCTCATCTGTAAGCGATGGAAGTTCAGTTTCTTTTCAAATCATTATAAATTCGTGTTTATCTTACCCTACCACTCTGGCTAGAGCTTCTCATACAATGTTGAATAAGAATGGGAACGATATGATTCATGCTAATGGTGTTCAGTGTTGGATGAGCTTCTCTTAACCAGCAGGCTGGACGCTGGGGACCCTCATAAGAGAATATCTTCCTTTAGAATAGCATTTCTTAAGAGGTCGTGTGGTGTGTGTATTCCTATGTGTGTTCACATGGCCAGGTCACTATCAGAATAGCCAGTGATCTTTTTCAGACATCTTCCTAGAAGTTTGCGGGCTGCCCTTCACTTACAACAGAGAATCGCTGTCATAGTGAGATACCATGAATGCAAGTCTATTCTATCTCTCAGGTGTGATGGGATAGAAAAAATGTGTTATCCCTTGTTTTGAAACCAAGATCTCTTGATTCTTGGTTAGAATGTAATACATAGTGTGTCTGGAATCCACATAGCTGCAAAAGATGGTGATCTTTGGATTATTTTAAGAAGGCATGAAAAGCAAAGGCATTGCAGCAAATAATTTCTTCAGTGCCTCGAATGCGAGGGCAACAAAGGGATGCCCCTGATTCTCTTTCATACAGGATCATGCACTGTTTGAATTGTGATAATTTGTGACTTTTATTTTTTCTGACCTTCCTCTGTCAGAAACTCATTTTAACCAGCAGTGCCAGTGTCATCTTTGAGGGCGTCGATATCAAGAATGGAACTGAAGACCTTCCCTATGCCATGAAACCCATTGACTACTACACAGAGACTAAGATCTTACAGGAGAGGGTATGTACCTTGGAACTGGTTGAGTGAGCAGACTGAAGGGTTTAGAATCCTAAGAAAAATGTTTATGAACTTATGAAGTTTGTATTCTGAGGCCTACGTACCTGATTTGAGATGTAAAATTTGTGGGTGAAATTAAATTTAAAAATACTGTGAGAGGCCGGGCACGGTGGCTCACGCTTATAATCCCAGCACTTTGGGAGGCCGAGGTGGGTGGATCACCTGAGGTCAGGAGTTCGAGACCAGCCTGGCCAACATGGCGAAACCCCATCTCTACTAAAAATACAAAAATTAGCCCAGCATGGTGGCAGGCGCCTGTAATCCTAGCCACTTGGGAGGCTGAGGTATGAGAATTGCTTGAACCTGGGAGGCGGAGGTTGCAGTGAGCCGAGATTGTGCCATTGCACTCCAGCCTGGGGGATAGAGAGAGAGAGACGCTGTCTCCCAAAAAAAAAAAAGTTACTATGAGAACAGCTTTATGTGGCCAGACACTGTTCTGAGTGTTTTCCAGGAGTATTTTCCTTGTTTAAAGGTCACAATTATCGCATCATCACCAGATTATAGATGAAGACTGTGGTGCACAGATGCACAGAGAGGCTCAGAACCTTTCTAAAACTGTGCAGCTAGGAGGTGGCTGACCCCAGGCAGTCTGTCTACAGAGCTTACAGCCCACCCTCAATGCCATGGGAGCTTCCTCGCCTGCTATGGGAATTTACAGCAGTTGCAAGCGTGCAGACAGGAATCAGGCTGGAGGCACCTTCCTAGTGGCACTCTCACCCCCTCCCTTACTTAGAAAAACAAACAACGGAAGGATCTTGCTTTATTTTAAGGAAAAAGTACTTTTCCACTTGGCAAAACAGCTTCATCAAAGGGCACCTGATTTTAGTATGGTTGGATTCAGCCACGGTCGCTACCAAGCCTTCAGGCTGCTGGGGCTGTGGGGCCCCTGACAACTGCTAGCTGCAGATGGGGATTGTCACCCTGAGGCCATCCTAAGCTGCAGGCCAGGAGTGCTCCTGAGCCTGGGATAGCTCGTCTTAGCTGGGTAGCTGTGAGTATACCCCTCCCAGGTGTGTGCAGTGTATCACACCCACTGAGGTTTTCTCGCAAAGCCGGTACATGCTGTACTGGAGCTGAACACTGACCTGGCTACCTGAGAGCCAGCTGCCTCCTGGCTGTTTGCCGTATTTTTTTTTTTTTTCTTTTTTGAGATGGATTCTCACTCTGTTGCCCAGGCTGGAGTGCAGTGGCACGATCTCGGCTCACTGCAACCTCCACCTCCCAGGTTCAAGCGATTCTCCTGCCTCAGCCTCCTGAGTAGCTGGGATTACAGGCGCGTGCCACCATGCCCGGCTAATTTTTGTATTTTTAGTAGAGACGGGGTTTCACCGTGTTGGTCGGATGGTCTCGAACTCCTGACCTCATGATCTGCCCGCCTTGGCCTCTCAAAGTGCTGGGATTACAGGCGTGAGCCACCATGCCCAGCCTGTCTGCTGTTGCTTCAGCTCAGAAAGTCCTGGCAGAACTGGTCCACAGGGAGACACAAGGGCCACCCAGACCAGGGGTGGAGGCTTGAACTTTGGCAAGCCACAGTCCTGGCTCCAGACTATGCTGTCTTGCTCCTTGGAGCACTCATGTGCTCGAACTTGGCCCAAGGAGTACTAAAGCCTCCCTGCGCCTTGCAGGCAGTTCAGTCACCATGGAGACCCTGTGTATTCTCAACCCAATATGCCTGATACTGATTGCCACCAGAGCTGAGCCCATCTAGGCTCAGGAGCTTCAAATGATGGCCTTGGCCCAGACCATCAGTGTCTCGCTTATATCAACTTTTGGGTTCTCAACTGGAAATAAGCAAAGCCTGCAGATGACTCCAGCAGTAACTCACCGGAAGCCTCCTTTCAGCCGAGGTTGACATCCACTGTTGGCTTTATAACCTTCCTACTGATCATAAACCAAATGTGATGGGGAGCTAGGACTCCTTCACCTCTCTTCCCTTTAGTAGTAGAGATGAGCCTTGGTGGAAGCCATTTGAGGGTTTATTTAGTCATTTCCTCCATCGCTGTGGGGACCAGAGTCCTGGCGGGAAGAGGAGGGCCAGCTCTGGGAATCTGTTGAGAGGCAGCTTTTCCATTGTTGAGTTGCTTAAGATCACTGGGGCCAAAACATAGACCAGCACTTTGCTACCATAGAGTAGAAGAAACCCGAGGTGACATGACAGCAGGAACCGTACTTACCAAGCATACAGACACGCACTGAAGCAACTCACATGGGCCATCTCGTGTAATTCGCATGCAGCCCCGTCAGGGTAGGTACCTTTATGATCACCACTTTTACCCACGATAAAACAAATCCTTTGGAAAGTTTTGTTACTTTTGAGGCGAAACCCATTTCACTGTGCTTTAGACTCTTGAGTTCTAGTTTGTCCATGAAGTCACACAGAAGTCACCCTTTCCTTGCGGTGGCAACAGGAGCACTGGCTCTGGACCAGGCACTGCTCTGAGGACTTTACATGTCTCGGCCTCCTTTGCCCCCCAGCTGCTGGCCTGTTTCTCCCCAGGCATGGTCTTCAGACCCTTCACCTTCTCTGACCCTCTTCTGGGCCCACTTGGGTTTCTCAGAGCCCTCCCCTCGGAGGTGATACTCAGAATTGCCTGGAACAGACCCGGCCTGGTGGAAACGTGGGCGGCACATGCAGTTCAAGTCACTGGAGGCTCACGGCTAACTTGTTTGCCAGAACCTTTGGACGTTTTCCACAAACTGCTGCCGAGGCATGTCTTCTGGCAGTGTTGGTGGATTTTAGCCTTTGAACGCAAACCAGGGCCTTCTGATTTGATCTTACCAGTTTTTGCCCAGCTGTCTGTCCTGCATTTTCAGATTTTGGTGTGAGGGTGGGTGGGGTAGAGAGGTAGCCCAGAATTATACCAGCCACTGATGTAGGTTGTCAGCTCAAGGCAGACCACTGCTCAGTGGCCACATGCCAGCAGAGTGTGTCATCTGTCTGTCCCCCACGAGTGGTGCTTCTCACCCAGCGAGGCACTCTCTTGGCTTGGGCCTAGGAATTTGCAATGGACGTGCCCCTTCTCCCACTCTCCTCCAGGCAGTTCTGGGCGCCAACGATCCTGAGAAGAATTTCTTAACCACAGCCATCCGCCCTCATGGCATTTTCGGCCCAAGGGACCCGCAGTTGGTACCCATCCTCATCGAGGCAGCCAGGAACGGCAAGATGAAGTTCGTGATTGGGTGAGTCAGCCCACAGCGGCTCTTCCCTAGTCCTTCCTGGTCCATGCTCGCATTCAGAGAGCACTTGGCAGGAGCCACATGGCATTGTAGCTCTTTTCTTATGTGACTGTCTTGGTCCATGCAGGCTGCTGTAACAAAATACCTAAGACTGGGTAACAAACAACAGAGAGCTTGGAGGCTGGGAAGTCCAGATCAAGGCGTTCCCAGACTGGGTGTCCATTGAGGCCCTGTTCCTCATGAGTGGCACCTTTTCACCATGTCCTCACATGGTGGAAGGGGCAAACAGGCTCCCTTGGGCCTCTTTTATGAGGACACTAATCCCATTCCCGAGGGCAGAGCCCCCATGACCTAATCACCCCCTAAAGGTCCCTCTTCACAGTACCATTGCACTGGAGGTTAAGTTTCAACATATGAATGTTGCGGGGATGCAAAGATTCAGGCGATAGCAGTGACCTTGTCCGCTGTCCTCTGTATTCATTTCTTGTAGTTGCCATAACAACCTGCCACAAAGTAAGTGCTTAAAACAACAAATGGATTCTGTCACATTTTGGGAGGCCAGAAGTCCTCAGTTAAGATGTTGGCAGGGCTAGTGTCTTCTGGAGGTTCGCAGGGAGCGTCTGTTCCAGGCCTCTGCCCTAGCTTCTGCTGGCTTCCAGCCATCCTTAGCATTCTGTGCTTGGAGAGGCATCACTCCTGCCTCTGCGTCCCTTTCACATGGCTGTGTTCCTTGCTTTCTGTGTCCAAATTTCCCTCTTATAAGGACATCATTCCCTGGATTTAAAGCCCACCCTACCCCAGTATGAGCTCAGCTTAACTAATTGCATCTGCCGAGCCCCTATTTCCAAATAAGGTCACATTCACAAGGCCCAAGTGGACAGAAGCTTTGGGAGGATACTGTTCAATCCAGTGTACCCTCTCAGGTAGGCTGGGAAGGTATTTGTGACCCTGTTTGGAAATTGAAGAAACCGTGACTCAGAGGGAAAGCAATGGGCCCCGGGTCAAAGGCCAGGGCTTGACTGTCCTTGCATCTGGGAAGGCAGGCGGGGGCATTACTTTTCTCCTCGGGTTAAGTGCAGGTGGAGGGGCCTCCACAGGGGACAACAGTGTGCCTCTCTCCCAAATAGGCTTTCTCTTCCTTCATTTCCTCCTTTTCTCCTCTCTCTCTTCCTTCCTTTTTCCCTCTGCCTTGCCTTCCTGTTTCTCACTCAGCCTCACTGCTACCCTGACTTGTCACCTTGAAGGATTACAGGGAGACTGGTCAATAAACGGAGGACCAGAGCAAGGCGTTGGCCCCGTGTCTCCTGGGAAGGGGCTGAAAAGCTGCTACCCAAATCGGGACAGGAGAGACAGCACCAGTGTTGGCCATGCTGGAATGGGTGGGCAGGTCCCCCAGCTTTCAGATTCCACTAACCCTGAAGACCCAGGAGTCCCGGCCCAGTGTACATCTTTAACCAGTACAGGCATCCATGAGTGCCTGGGCCGGCCTTGCCAAGTGAGGTGGCAGCCATTCTGTAGGTCACAGTCTCTCAAATGCCAAGACTTGGGAGTGGCCCTGGCCTTCGTGCAGGGGCTCCCAGCACGTATTCCATCATCCCTTGTGCACCTGCAGAAATGGGAAGAACTTGGTGGACTTCACCTTTGTGGAGAACGTGGTCCATGGACACATCCTGGCGGCAGAGCAGCTCTCCCGAGACTCGACACTGGGTGGGAAGGTAAGGCCTGCTGCACCGGTCCCTGCACAGGTGCCTTTCTGCGGGTTTCTTCTCCTTGCCATTGGATTTGCTGGCAAGTTGCTCCTGTGATCCTGTATCATGGAGGATCTGCCTTAGGACCCCCTGTGCCAAGATCAAGCCCCTCTGATAGAGCATGTGGTGTCACTGCAGCGTCACATCACTTGGGCAGCCAAATTTGGAGAGCTGACGAGCTGGGATTGAACAGACATTCAGGTCACGGTCATCTATGGTCCCCTGACCTGGCTGCCCACCTGTTGGCATGGCTCCTTGTGGCAGGAGCCCACGTAGATTGGGCAGGGTGCTTGCTCCTCACCCTTTCTCCCACTCATTCCTCAGGTCTCTCCCTCCCTTGCTGTTTGGTCCTCTTTTATTCTCCTGAACCTCTGCCGTTTCCCCACTGATAACCTTCAAATAAGTTGGGAATAGGGTGGGTGTGGCATTTTTTTTTTCTTTTTTTTTTTTTGAGACAGTCTCACTCTGTCACCCTGGCTGGAGTGCAGTGGCGTGATCTCGGTTCACTGCAACCTCCGTCTCACTGGTTCAAGCGATTCTCATGCCTGAGCCTCCCGAGTAGCTGGGACTACAGGCACATGCCACCACGCTCAGCTAATTTTTTGTACTTTTAGTAGAGACGGGGTTTCACCATGTTGGCCAGGCTGGTCTCCTGACCTCAGGTGATCTGCCCGCCTCTGCGTCCCAAAGTGCTGGGGTGACAGGCGTGAGCCACCGCGCCTGGCCCGGGTGTGGCTTTTGATTTAAAACAAGCAGAACACCGTCAAGAAATGTAATATGAGGAATTCATTGCATCCAAAGATATGTAGATGAGTTTTATGATGATTAACAATTATCAAATTAACAAATGTGCCTTTCCAAGTGCAATCTATGCTTCATTTAAAATCCTGGCCCATAGATGAAACTTTCATTGTCTGCCCTTTCTATGCCTTAGCAGTTGTGCAATTGAGGGCAGGCCACGTGGAAAGCTGCAGCAATTAGGCAGTGAGAATGCGATCTGCACGGGCTTAATAGATGCTTCAACTTTGGGCAGGTGGGGGTGGTGTTTCTAACTTCTTGTTCTTGTTCTCCCGCCAGGCATTTCACATCACCAATGATGAGCCCATCCCTTTCTGGACATTCCTGTCTCGCATCCTGACAGGCCTCAATTATGAGGCCCCCAAGTACCACATCCCCTACTGGGTGGCCTACTACCTGGCCCTCCTGCTATCCCTGCTGGTGATGGTGATCAGTCCTGTCATCCAGCTGCAGCCCACCTTCACACCCATGCGGGTCGCACTGGCTGGCACATTCCACTACTACAGCTGCGAGAGAGCCAAAAAGGCCATGGGCTACCAGCCACTAGTGACCATGGATGATGCTATGGAGAGGACCGTGCAGAGCTTTCGCCACCTGCGGAGGGTCAAGTGAGGGACACTGGAGGCTGGGCTCTCTCGACACGTTGCTCAGCCAGTCACTCCTTCCCCTGTGGATTGATGAAATAACATCCTTTGAATGAGTTTGCTCTGAGCCTGTGACTCCTTCTGCTAGGCAGAGAGCGCACCCTACTCTTTCCGTGACGATGAGGGCGGCAAAAACAGACATTTCTTCCTTCATGGAACTGGATTTGGATTTCTTGAAGCAGGCAGCTTCATATTATACCGATTTGTTCTCTGTCTTTTTGTGTCTCTCTGTTTACCCCCTCCCTTGCCCCCTCTTCTGGTTTATACATTTCATTCCAGTGTCCTTGTACATAATCAAGGAAGCTGTAGGAAGCTACAACCCATTTGTTAGTTCTGATGGAGAACCATTTCCATGCAGACCAATACTAGAGTGAAGCCTCTAGACTTTGTTCAAGATACTCTATCTTCAAAATATCCCAGAAGAAAAACAGAAGCTGTTAACACACAGGTGAGACTTTACATATACATTTCATACTGACAGTGAGCTTAGAGCAAAAGCTGAAAGCTGAAATGACTGTAATTCCTCCCCAGTCTCTGTTGCTTGTTCAACTCCTTACATGTTCCACATTCTCTTTCAGGTACGTTGCCGTGCCTGCCTGCATTGTTTTTTGTTGTGGTCGTTGTAGAGACAGAGTCTGAGTGTGTCTGTTGCCCAGCTGAGAGTGCACTGGCTAATCACAGGCCCAATCATAGAGCACTGCAGCCTTGAACTCTTGGGCTCAAGCAGTCCTCCCATCTCAGCCTCCTGAGAGCAAATGTGCGCCGCCACAGCAGGCTTGCACTGTTTTCACAAAACATTTCTCTTATCAACAGAGTTCTGTTGTTTTGAGAGGCAAGGCAGTGATCCAGCCCAGTGGCACCCTGTTTCATCTGTTCAGCTCCTCTCCTAATGTGGGACACTGGGCTGGGCGACAGTAAGCCAGGGAGCAGGAGGGGCTCCTTCCCTGCAGCTCACCCTCAGAACCCTTCAGGCCAGTTTCCAAAGGGCATAGCGTAGAGGATAATTCCTCGGAATGAGGAGAGACTGTGCTGCCCTCTGCTGATGGGGCAGGGGGATATAAACATAAATAAGACAGCCTTTGCCCCTAAGGCACTTAGAATCATGGACTTAAGATATGTTCGCAAGCCCCTGTAATGCCAGGCAGGACATGATACACACACTTAAGACGCAGTGGTAAATGTTCAGCTTCTGTCGAGGAGGTGATGCCTTGAGTCGGACCTTGAAGAATGGATAAGCAGTGAGACTTCACTGTCGAAGTTGGCATTTCAGGCTAAAGATGTCAGAGGGTCACAGTCAATGGCATGTCATAGTTTAATTAGCAGCACGTTGTGTTTCTTAGGGGTCCATGAGATAACGGTGTCTTAGATTCAGTGAAGGACAGACGTGCCAGCCTGGTTTGGCTGATGGTGCAAAGCTGAAGGGGATGTACTTTTATCTCCCAGGCAGTGGTGGCCAAGAATCAAGGAAACCATCGTGGCTCTTACGTGGAGCCTTCAGACAAGAAGCAACAAAGGCCCACGCGATGATGGAGTTGGGCGGGGGCGGTAGGGTTGGGGGTAGAAATGAAGCCTTACAAGAAATGGCCTGGAGGGGGTCCGCGCTCAGCACCTGATTTCCTGTGGGGAGTGAGAGGGAGGGAGGAGGCCACTCAGGCTGGAATGAAGCCGCAGAGCAGCTCTAAGCTGGTGGGAGGATGGTGTCGGGCCCGGAGTGGGTGAGGCCAGCAGACCTTGCTGATGAGCACCAAGGACCAAACTGCCCTCAGCTTCGACCTAACCACTCGCTCAGAAAAATACTAGCTGCCATCTAGACCAAAGATGTCCCTCATGGAACGTCTTCTCTGCCCTCTCTTCACTCATTAGACCACAGATAATCGTTGGGCCCTGCCCTGCGCTTCAGTGGTGAATAAAACACGCAGCCCACAGACCAATAGATTATTCAAAACTGCTGAAGTTTCCAAAAAAGAAAAGTGCAGGGTGCTATGAGAGGGACATAGGGCTGCAAGCAAGCCTGGCCCAGGTGGCGATCACGGCAGAACAGTTGCAGAAACAGTGCCTGCTCAGATCCGAAAGGTGAGGCTGTGCACAGAGACCCTGAGCCCCCCGCTGGCCAAGCTGACGACCTCCCAGCCGCTCCTTGTATTTCCCTGCATTCCTGACCCACACCTATCTCGACCCACCCGTTTGGAGAAAGTCTAACCACCAGGAAACCATAACCTCAGTACCCGCTGAGAGCTTGTTAGAAACCATCAGGCCCCACCCCGGAGCTACTGAACCGAGACCCTGGGCTTGGGCCAGCACTCTCTTCACAAGCCCTGTGGATGGTTTCTGACCAGTGAAGAAGCCTTCCTGCAGATCACTGAGTCCAGCTAGAACCTCCCCTTGGCTGCTGCAAGACTGAACTTGCCCTACTCACAGGCCCAGGGCCTGGGGGCCACCCCCACCCATTTCTTTCCTGACAGCTGATGGCATCCTAGAGTGCGGACCCAGGCCTATGTCTGTCCCTCGTGTCACATCCCATCTGGAGAATCGGGGCCAAGGGAAGGCAGTTCTCTCCCAGATTGGGGACAGCTAGAAGCCCTATTGCCAAGTGCTGCGTGTCCTTTGGGATGATCGCATTCAATCCCTCTTCCTTCCCTTCCCTATCGACACTGACCTAGTTCAGCACCTGACCCCATCTGCACCTAGGTCAGGTGTCCTGGGACAGCCGACCTGATCTGTCTGCTTACTTTCGCCCCTCCTCCCATCCAGCTGCTATGTGTACACCTAGGGTATCCAGTCTCTCTGCTAAAAACACTAAAGCAGGGTCCGATTTTCTCCCAGCCCACATTTCCAGCTCCTTCCACTGGTCTTCACACCTGCTGTGTTGTAGCCAAATGGAACCACGGTTTCCTGTTCACGCCCTGTCATGCATCCCCTGCTCAGGCTGTCATGACTGCATGCGATGTCCTCTCCCCACTGTGTCCCAGCTCCAGAATGGCCCGTTCCCTTCCCCTAAAAAGCCATGCCTAATCCTCCCAGTTGGAAACCACCTCTTTTCTCTGGATTCCCAGCCTGGGGCCCCTGACCTGTACCTCATTTTGTGTTTCCTATTTGTGCTTTTTCCTGCCCCCACCAGGCCAGGAGTTCTTAAGGACAGAGGCAATCAGTGTCCCCACAGCATAGTGGGTGCTCAGGAAACCTCCCTGTCTTGGAATCCTGGAGTCACAGTAGCAACAAAAGAAAGTGGTCCCAGGAATGGGGAAAGGCACAGCCCATGAGACTGGGTTGAAGCAGAGAGAGGTTCCCAACCTGCCATTCAGATGGGGCTTGAGGAGTCTGTGAACTCCCTAAATTCGATGCAGCCTCTGGGGGTGTGGGTGTGTGTGTGTGTGGGGGTGTGTGTGTGTGTTTGTGGGTGTGTTTGTGTGTGTGGGTGTGTGTGTGGGGGTGTGTGGGTGTTTGTGGGTGTGTGTGTGTGGGTGGGTGTGTGTGGGTGTGTGGGTGTGTTTGTGGGTGTGTTTGTGGGTGTGCGGGTGTGTGTGTGGGTGGGTGTGGGTGTGTGTGTTTGTGGGTGTGTGTGTGGGTGTGTGGGTGTGTGTGTGGGTGTGTGTGTTTGTGGGTGTGTGGGTGTGTTTGTGGGTGTGTGTGGGTGTGTGTGTGTTGGCATGAAAGGGCACATGGCTTTCACCAGCTTCTCAAAGAGGACTGTGGCCTAATAAAAACTAGTGAGTGGAGGGGGCCAGCAGCTGTCGGGGGAGGGGCCAGGAGAGACATGCCAAGGGCAGAGTGGGGCTCCCAGGCCTCATCGTCACCCCTGTGTGTGTGTGTGGCTGGCTGTTCCATCATGGGGTCCATGGCTTCAAAACAGGGAAGCACTGGAATCCACGAGGAGGAGGGCTTGCCAGACAGGATGGCAATGGTTGAGGCCTCTGGCCCCAGCCCTCTGGGCTCTGGTGCCCATTGCCCCTGGAAGATTCTTAGCTTTCTGGATGAGACAGCCCTTGCTAGTAGAAAGCTCTACCTTCTGCTGAACTGAAACACCATTGGATGTGACTTCCCTTGTCCTCCCTCATTTCCTCCCTCACCAAACCCCAGCAAGTGCAGCTTACACAGGCGCTATTCCCTCCGGTATCCCGCAGCTCATCAGCAGCACTGTCCTCTGCTCAGCTCACCTGCCTCAGGGCACCTGGTCCTGCAGGGCCAGCCACTCTTCTTCAAACTCCATCTCCAACATCATTTCTTCTTTGCAGCTGTCCCCCACAGGTCTCTCTGGCTTCATACAATGGCTGGCCTACATCTCCATCAAAGCACTTCCTCCATCACAGGGCAACCATCCACTTAGCTGCCCAGATAGAGCTCTATGAACTGCTTTGCTCCTCAAGGGCTTTTGATTCGTTACCTGTTCCAGGGAAGTAAGCATGCCCAGTTCATGTGCCAAGACTCCAAGGGCATTTACAGGAGAAAGCCAGCAACTCATTGGCAATCTGGGGGAGCCCCAGAGAAAAGAGGCCATGGCCAAGGGCACTCAAGGGCAGTCAGCAGAGCCAGGGCTGGACCACTAGCTCCTGATCCCCCAGGCCAGCGCACCCCAGGTCACCCATTCAGATCCAGGCAGCCTAATGCCACATAGGTGCCCATGTGGGAAGGAGGCAGTCAGGATATGGGCTCCACCCTGAGGTTCTCTTAACATGAAGGGCTGAAAAAGCACAAATGGATCATTAGGAACTGTGAGAAAGAAGATATGTTGGCAGACACTAGAACCTTCCATTCCAGTCTGTATCTCTTGTCACCAGCACTGCCTAGTCATTGATCGTGGAAGGCTCCAAAAGATGGTGGACCCAAAGTCGAGACTCTTTGCCAGCTCTGCCTCTTACCGGCTCCAGGAGGTCTGTTCATATTAACTCATTCGGCCCAGAGAATTTCCCAAAGAACTTTCTAGAGTGACTGGGGTAGGGGAGAAAAGGAGGGAAGAGGATGGAGGCCTCTCAGCTTCTTTTGTCCTGTATCACAGCCTGGCTCCCAGCAACACTTTTGGGATGCCTCTTGTAGCAGGTACTGGGAGACATGCACACCACTGGCTTTGTTCTCCATGGTGGGCAGGGGGAACATCAATTCAAAACATTTTAACTGGGCACCTGCCATTTCCCTCAAAGAGCTCACAGTCCCATAGAAGAAATGAAATGCAGAAATTAATAACCCAAGCACTCCTTCCTTTAAGAGCAGAGGTCAGCAAACTATGAACTCAGGCTCCAATCTCGCTTGCCACCTGCTTTTGTAAATACAGTTTCGTTGTCACACAACCACATCCATTTATTTACATAATGTCTAAGACTGCCTTTTCACTACAATAGCAGAGTTGAGTAGTTATGACAGAGGCCATCTAGCCTACAAAGCCAGTCAAAATATTGACTATCTTGCCCTTCATAGAAAAGGTTTTGTGATGGAAGAATGAGGTCAGAGAAAAAAAGAAGAAAAGGAAAGGTTTGTCAACCTCTGCTTAAGAGGGACTGAGAGGCCACGAGCACACGATGCTTAGCATCACTAATCATTAAGGACACGCAACTCAGTACCACGATGCGACATCGCCTCATCCCATTAGGATGGCTACTATCAAAACAAAAAAATAGGCCAGGCACAATGGCTCACGCCTATAATCCCAGCACTTTGGGAGGCTGAGGCGGGCAGATCACTTGAGATCAGAAGTTCAAGACCAGCCTGGCCAACAGGATGAAACCCTGTCTCTACTAAAAATACAAAAAATTAGCCAGGTGTGGTGACAGGCGCTTGTAATCTCAGCTACTCGGGAGGCTGAGGCAGGAGAATTGCTTGAACCTGGGAGGCGGAGGTTGCAGTCAGCCAAGATCGCACCACTGCATTCCAGCCTGGGTGATAGAGCTTGGACTTGATAACTCCCTGGAGGGTGACATGGTGACATTTGTGTTTGGATGGTGGGGAGAGTGCAGGGAGAGGGACCAGAGGTGGGGCGCCAGTGGGGAACTACCTCTAGTCCAGGGGAGAGACGGTAAGAGTGTGTCTGTCCTGAGGAACAGGCAACGGGGCTATGGTGCAGACGTAATGAAGAGATGATTCTGTGCAAGAATGGACCATCCATGATGATTGATTGGATGTGGGGCTAAGGGAGGGGAAGGGATAAAGAGAACTAGGAGGCTGAAGCTTAGAAGAATTGGTGGCCAGCCATGCCTTCTGCTGAGCTAGGGACCCAGGAGAGGATGAGATATAGGTAGCAGCAAGGAAGAAGCTGAATTCCATTCTGGCCATAATGAGTTGAATGAACCTTGCAGTTTCCAGGTAGAAAAGTCTAGAAGGCAAGAGATAGTTATTTCGGACATCTTGGCTTATTGCTGCTACCGAAAGCCACAGGAAAAGCAGGAGGATGAAAAAAATGGGACCCTGAGAATTAAGAAGTGAACGAAATACCCAGGTGTCAAGGAAAGCTAGGGAGGAGGGATCAAGCTTGAGAGGATGGTCAGCAGCGTGGGTGGTGCTGGGAAGTTAAAGAGGCTGAAGACTGAGCAAGGAAATGTCCCTGAAATCTAACACTGAACACCCACTTTATAACTGGCCTTGTGCTGGGGGTAAGGGCCACCGTGGTAGACAGTCTATCCAAGAGCCTTTCCAGAGCTCCTGATCTAGCTAAGGGAAAGAACCACAGTTGATGCCAGCTGAGCTAAGCGGCCCCAGGGAAGCTGCAGCACAGCCTATTTGGCAGTACACTTGTGCCCAGCGTGGATTTTCATACCCTGCTCATGGACTTGTGTCCTTTCTTCATCCTCCCTTCCATATTCTTCCTTGATGGCGCTCTTCTCAACCATAGATTTTCTTAGACCTTTTGGGGGCCCTTCCAGCTTCTGACCCAGACAGTGCTAGCCAGGCCGTGGGCACTACAGGTTTGTTGAGTGGTTTTGATGGGAGCGGATTAGAGGAAAAACCAAAGATGAATGCTGAGCAAGATGATAGGAGCAGGGTTGTGGGAAGGAGAGTGCCTCCTCAGCCAGCCAGTGCCTTCCCAGGTGGTCAAGCACTTTCTCCTTGGATCCTCAACAAGCCTGTTGAGTCCAGCAAGGTCTCCCAATATCCCCATTCCCCATTTTGTATAGGGAAGCCCAAAGTTTCAGACAGGGAAAGGGGCATTCTGAAGATGCACAGCAAGTTAGGGACAGCATCCTTTTCCTCAATGGCCTTCTACTCTCTTGGAATAATGTTGAGTGGCCTGAACTCCTTGCCTCTGTACTGGCTGGGAACACTGGATGTACTCCTTTCCTATGACTGCTGTATCAGATTACCACCAGTTGAGTGGCTTAAAACAATGCAAATGTATTATCTTATAGTTGTGGGGGCCAGAACCCCAAAATCAGCTTCACTGGGCTAAAGTCCAGGAGTTGGAAGCTCTGAGGCTTCTGGAGGCTCCGAGGGAGGAGTTCCATTTTCTTTCCTCTTTTGAGCTTCTGGTGGCCGCTTGTTTTCCTTAGCTTGTGGCCCCTTCTTCCATCTTTGAAGCACATTACTCCAATCTCTGCTTCTATGGTCACATTTCCTGCTCTTCTTCTGTAGTAAAATCTCCCTCTGACTTTCTCTTATGAGGACACTTGTGATTACACTTAGGGCCCACCCAGATAACCCAGGATAATCTCCACATTTAAAGATCTTTAACTTAATTGCATTTGCAAAGTCCCTTTTGCCATATAAGGTAAGAAGAGTAACAGGTCTCAGGGGTTAGAATGTGGACATGAAGCTGGCTAAGAGAGGCAAGCCCTTGGGTAAAGCGTCACCTCACAAAAGACCCTGCTTGGCTTCAGTAGGCTGAGGACCTTGAGGAAACTCTGCTAGATCACTACAGCCCTGTCTGCCAGAACTATCCAGATCGTTCACTGGGCTGGTTTGGCACCAGCTAGTGATTGTGAAAACTGAACAGAAGTCACCAATAGGATGGTGCCAACTTAGTGCTAGAAAATGTGGGAGGATCGGCAGGGCAGGTTCACAAAGGCCCGAGAATCCAGCGGCCCAGGTGAGCAAGTGCCTGTCCCAGCACTGCCTCCAGGCTCGGGACTGGGGCTTCCAATCCTGGGTCTGGACTTCAGGTCCTGCAGGGGAGGGACTCAGACTTACACATCCTCTTTGTACCTTGTTTGCTGCTGGGATTAGAATTTAGGGGAGTGAAGTTCAGGGACGAATCTAAGGCCTCCCAGCCAAAGGCCATCTAGCCACAGCCCAAACAAAGGGGCTTCCAACATGGTCCTAGGTGGCACTGAGACCAAGCCTGCAGAGACTGGGCCCTGTGAGAGAGGCAAGGCAAGGCCCCAGGGCACTGCAGGCTGTTCAGGTGAGGGCACCTCATGCCACTGTGGAACCAGGAGCTCCCAAGGTCCCTGTTCTGTCAGCATGAGTGTCTGATTGCTCCCTTCTTCAAAGCCGGCTCTGGCTCGGAACGCTGGGTGCTGAGACACTGCCTTTGGTGAGCATGGGCTGCTTAGGAGCTTTAGAGGGACTCCTGCTGAACTGGGGGGCCTCTCTCTGCAATGCCTTCTGCCCTGTCTGCCTGCCTGACTCCCACATGTATCTCTATGGGCTAGTAGCCTGGTCGAGTGAGGCTCCCTCTGTGCCTGTCCAGTTTGGCACCAGCTAATGATTGTGTCCAGGGGCTCTGGACCTGCCTCTTTCTAGACCAAGGAGTCCTCAAAGGCAGGGTCTGCTGGGAGCCTCCCTGTGACCCCTGCAGTACCAGCACAGGCATTCGTGCCATGAGTTGAATAGAACTGAAGAGAAGGGAGAAGCTTCCCGGGGGTGGGCAAGAGGAGGCTTGAGAGCCCAGGAATAATGATAAAACAGTAACGGCCCAGGGCTAAAGGAATCCTCCAGAATCCGAGTTCTGTGGATCTAAGTTGGCCTGGGACTGCCTGAGGATGGGGCAGGCCCTGCCCAGAGCCCTCTTGGAGCCAGCCTCCAGCACCTCCTCAGCCTGACCTTCCACCTTCAGTGTTTAGAGCTGAGAGAGCAGGCTACGGGGCACATAGGTCAGCCCTGCATTGCTTACACAAGTGGGCCAAGACTCCAAGAGGGGCTGAGATTTGGCCAAGGTCTTTGAAGAAGGAATGCCCATTCATGAAAGAAGAGCTATTACAACTTCTGTCTCTTCCCAGAGTCTTCTTTCCAGCTCTTCCTAGAAAAGCATGGCCTGCTCAGTCATTCTCAGGTTCCTGTGCTGAGAACAGGAGTGAGGAAGGGAAGCTCACAGGAATGAAGCACCCACTGGCCACTGGAGATCAGATGGGCACCATTATATGTTGGATAGTATTCCTCCAAAAAATATGTTGAAGTCCCAACACCCAGTGCCTGTGAATGTGACCTTATTGGGAAGGAGAACATTTGTAGATATAATCAAGTTAATATGAGATCATTAGAGTGGGCACTAATCCAACATGATGGTGTCCTCATAAGGAGAGACAGAGACACAGACACACGTGGGAAGACAGTCACATGGAGATGGAGGCAGAGACGAGTGATGCAGCCACAAGTCAAGAACACCTGGGGCTACCAGAAGCTGGAGGAGACAAGGATCCTCCTCTACTCCTGAAGGAGCGTGGCCCTGCTGATACCTTGTTCTTAGACTTCTGGCCCCAGAACTGGGAGATAATTCATTTCTGTTGTTTCCAGCCACCCAATTTGTGGTACTTTGTTCCAGCTATCCTAGCAAAGTCATACAGACACTTTCACAAATGTCTCACAACAGCCTCTCAGCCAGGCAGAGATGGCAGCATTGGCTCCGTCTTCTCATTCTAATGTCAACTCCTTGCATTACCTCTCCAGGCTTGCCACCGCCCCAACTGTGAATAAACAGTGCTCCTCATCTTCAAAGCCCTTTGGAAATACTAATTAACTCTCAGCTAATTGGATGAAAGAACGTGAAGCTCTGATGACATCATCTCCATTCTGTGCCCAGATCTAGCCACAAGCGAAATCTGGGACTGCTGGGCTATGAGCCTTGTCTTGTGGGAACATGTTGTGCCCACGAAACATGGCTGGGGACGGCCGTCTACTCACTTTAGCTCCATGGGCTTCAGAAAACGGCCAGCTGTGGGCACACTTGGCCAATCAAGCACGCATAACACAAACAGTTTCTGTGATTAAGAGTTTGTGTGGGTGTGGGTGTGTGTGTGCGTGTGTGTTAATCACATACCTTTGCACTCTGCACATCACTGAGATTGTCTTATTGGCCGTTCTAAACAGAAGCTTACAAAAACATGTGTACTTTCAAATCTCCTCAGAATGCATCCCTGTGATCCTGAGGGCCTGTGTACCCCCTGCCTTGTAGAACCAAGAAGAATCCCTCTGCGTCCAGGGCCCCAGGGGGTGAGCATCAGTTGAGCTGGGCAAGTAGCTGCGTGCAAGGCCTGGAGGCAAGAGCCTGCAAGTCGGAGGCCATCTGAGCCAGGAGCCAGAGCTGAGAGAGATTCCGACCAAGGCCAGAAGGGCGTGAGGAGGAGGTGCAGGGCTGGGGCTGTCCCCACGACAGCAGGGTCTTTGGTGGACAGACAGCAGGCATGCTGCAGTGGACAGGGTCAGGAGACGAGGGTTAGAATCCTGCCTTTGACTTTGCCACTCATTAACCTGGACAACAGTGACAGGCCCATTCCAGGTCTCCCTGACTCCGTGCGATCTCTCCTTCATCCTCCACCCTGTGGCCAGGAGCACCATCCATGCACCAGGCAGATCTGCTCCTGGCACTGACCACTAAAAACCTCACCCGTGTGTCCCACGGGATGGACTTGAACATGATGGGTAGTACAATGACCGTCTTTGTTCAATAACAAAGAAAGAAAGAAAGGCCATTCCTGCTCAGTTATCTTTCAATCCTTCAGATCATGAAAAAAGATCAAAAAAACTAAAAAAAACCCCAAAACCTCAGAGTTCCATGCTCTCGTGTTTTTTGACTTTGTATTGAAGCATAATATACATTTTGAAAAGTGCATGTCATACATAAGTATAACGCTTGATGACTGCCCACAAGGAGAACATATCCATGTCAAAGCACCCAAACCGAGAAACAAGATGGCCACTACCCTGACATCTAGGAGCAGAAATTAGTTTCACCCATTTTTCTGTTTTATTTAAAAGAAATCGGCCGGGTGTGGTGGCTCACACCTGTATTCCCAGCACTTTGGGAGGCCGAGGACGGTGGATCACCTGAGGTCAGGAGTTCAAGACCAGCCTGGCCAACATGGCGAAACCCTGTCTCTACTAAAAATACAAAAATTAGCTGGGTGTGGTGGTATGTGCCTGTAATCCCAGCTACTTGGGAGGTCAAGGCACAAGAATCACTTGAACCTGGGAGGCAGAGGTTGCAGTGAGCAGAGGTCGTGCCACTGTAAATCCAGCCTGGGCGACAGAGTGAAACTCTGTCTCAAAAAATAAAAATAAAAAATAAAAACAAGAAATCACTCTATATGTGCTCTTAGGTGTTTAGCTTTCTTCCCTCGACATTATGTTTGTGAGCTGCATCCATTTGTTTCTACACTCATTGTCATTGCTGTAGAGCATTACATTGTGTGAAGACACCATAAATTACTTGTTCCTTCTACCTTAATGGGCATTAGGGTTGCTTTTGGCTATAACAAATAGTCCTGCTCTGAGTATTTCTTGGGTACATGTTTTTAAAAACATCCGTAGGCTGTTGAGTGGGAACCTGAAAGTGGGATTACTAAGTCAGAAAGTATGTGTGTATTTGGCTTCAGTGGGTAAGCTGAGTTTCCCAAGTGGTTGTACCAATGTACCCTCCCCACCAGTAAAATATGAGTATTCTAGTTGCCAACAATCAGTATTTTCTGTCTTCTTAATTTTATTTTATTATGTTATGTATGTATGTATTTATTTATTTCTTTTTAGAGACAGGGTCTCACTCTGTTGCTCATGCTGCAGTGCAGTGGTGCGATCTCGGGTCACTGCAGCCTCCAACTCTTGGGCTCAAGCGATTCTCCCACCTTAGCCTCCTGAATAGCTGGGACAACAGGCGTGCTTCACCATGCCTGGCTACTTTTTTATTTTCTAGTTTTTTGTAGAGAGGAGGGTCTCGCTGTGTTTCCCAGGCTGTTCTCAAACTCCTGCACTCAAGCAATCCTCCCACCTCGGCCTCCCAAAATGCTGGGATCACAGGTGAGTGCCACTGTGCCCGGCCTGGAGTTGTTTATTTGTTTGATGTATTCTGGATGAGGGTTTTGTTGAAGATGTGTATGGTGAAGATCTCCCACATGTTGAGTATCCTTTCACTTTCTTAACAGTGTGTTTTGATGAACAGAAGTTTCTCACTTTAATATGGTTCAATTTATCACATTTTTGGTCACACTCAGCACTTTTCGTGTCACACTTAAGAAATCTTTGGCTGTTGCCAGTTCACAAAGACACTCTCCTATGTTTTTCTTCTAAAAGCTTTATTGTTTTACCTTTCACATTTAGGTCTGCAGTTTGTGTGGAACTGATTTTTTTATATGATGTGTAGTAAGGATTCATAGACATTTTTTTTTCCCATATGGGAACCCAATTAACCCAGCACTTTTTGTTGAAAGGCCAATCCTATTCCTACTGCCCTGCCCTGTGGTGCTAGTGTATCTTTAGCTTCTCAAACACTTGATAACTCTCTGATTTGCTGTTGTAAGTGTTAATGAGTTAAAACAGTTCAGACCCCAGTTATCAATCAAGCACTTATCTAGGTGGTGTTGTGAAGGTGGTTTGCAGATGTGATTAAAGTCTTTCATAATTGACTTTAAGTATGGAGATTGTCCTAGATCACCTGTGCAAGCCTCAGCCAATCAGTTGAAAGGATTTAAGAGCAAAGCTGAGACTGCCCTGAGGAAGAAGAAATTCTGTCTGTGGATTGCAGCTTGGGCCCACGTCCAAGAGTTCCTGCATGCCCTTCCTGACGACCTGCCTTATGGATTTTGGACCTCCCCAGTCAGCCCCCACCACCACATAAGCCAATTCTTTCTCATAGATCTCTTAATATGTATCTCCTACTGGTTTTCTTTCTCTGATGGAACCCTGTCTGATACATGCCTCCATCTCCCAAACAAGACCGAAATGGTTTCAATAGTAAATTCACTAGCCATTCACCGCAGACTAGGCGAAGAGGGAACCCTCACTAATGGGAATGGAATGGAGGAGGAAAATGAGTCTAATCTCAATCATGAACATAGATTTAAAAAAGAAAAAACTCTACAAAATCTTAGCCAAGTATTCAAAGGATCTTATGCCATGACCGAGTTCATGTTGGTATACACTGCAATTGCAAACCAAGTCTTGCCAGGCCAACTCATCTTAATGGAAATGATGAAATTCAGTTGAGAACAGTGGCAGGCCAACAGTGAAACTTTTGAATGAAATGCACTTTAATTCAATGTCCTCATCCTTGAATGTCTTCATATCTTTATTATCCTTGGTACTTTCATGCCCCAGGACCCAAAGCTGAGAAACCAGCTTGAGGAAGCATCCTGGGCCCACAACTGATTTGGTTCCACCCCTACATCTCTCTCCTAAAACTCCCTTTCTCACTGTGTCCACCTCACTCAGAAGCAGTAGTCCTCAGTCCTTGGAGCACACCTGAGTCTGCAGGGATACCTGTTAAAAATGTGAGCTGTCTCCTGGGGCAGGTTAGTTGACCTAGTGGACTCACGTCTCTGAAAGGTTCCAGCTGACTTGCACTGGTATCTAGGCTCACCCACTTTCCAGCTGTATGGCCTTGGGCAAATGATCTCCCTGCTCTGAGGTTCAGCATCCTCCCGTGAACCACATAGCCTCCCTAGCCCAAAGGGGAGGGAAGAGTCACAGCTCCTTTGCCCACCATGCAGGGTGCCGCATGGTGGTAAGGGCAGCAGCCAGTGGGGAGCAAGGGAAGATATCCTTTGGGCAGCCTGAGTCCAGGAAACACAGCTCTGCCTCGCTCAGCCCCAGAAGGAGCCACACATCTGCCAGGATCTCAGCAGGGTCAACAGGAGCAGCCAGGCTGAGCTCACATCTCCCTGAAAGAAAGACAGCCGTGGGGCGTTTCCTGCTGGGGACAGGTGGAGTGAAGTCCTTGCTCTCCTTGCAAGCAGCCGAACATTCAAAGCGAGGCTGACAAGTTCAAGTCATCCTCTGATCCTTCTAGAAATATCCTGCTAAAAGCCAATCACATGTTTTCTTTCAAATGTGTCATTTTGCACAGATGTTTAAACTCTGGCATAAGCAGCAGGTTGCATCAGCCTCTCTTACATCTAAGGCCTGCAGGATCCCAATAATTTAATGTTGACCAAAGGAAGAAAGCCTCCTTACAAAGTGGCAGAAAGAAGAGGATCAAGACCTCAAGGAGGGTTTTCTCAGGACACCTACTGACAGAAGCACTGTGCATCATACCTAGCATGTAGTAAGCCCTCAACAAATATTAGCTTTATTATTAGCATTGTTAGCACAGCTCCCACGAACAGTCCCCGATGCCGCATGTAAGTGGCTAACTGAGCAATTTGAACCCAGTGGGGTAATAATCTTGGAAGTTAAGAGTCCGGGCTCTAGAGTAAGACAGCCTAGGTCCAAATCCCAGCTCCACCACTCACTAGCCCTTCCGTGCCATAGAGTCCTCATCTGTAAAATGGGGATAATAATAGTATTTACGTCATAGGGCTGTAGCAAGGATGGAATGAGATGTTTTCAGTAGAGCGCTTGGGACAGCACCTGACATAAAAAGCATTAAGTCAACATGGACCCTCAAATCACCCCCTTCAGCTGAGCTTTGTCAAATCGGCCTTGCCCATCTATTAACAGAATCTTGAGCAAGTTTCCGAAGTTACTGGTGTCTTGCAGTTGTTAAAACTCAGACCAGATTAAAATGTCAATCTCAGACTCAGTTTCACTCTTCCCTGAGCCCCTGGCTGCTCTGAGACCCTCCTGCCGCCCTACCCTGTTTGGGAAAATCAAAGGACACTGGCTGTCTCATGGGAAGGGGGAGGAGTGGGGGAAATACATGAGCCCTTTTGAAGGCTCTTTGAGACTTGAGTAGGTTTCTGCTCCTTGCCTCAGAGGCATCTTAACAAAGGTGACTCCTGACACCTTCCTGTAGGCTCTTTTTGCGTGGGGGATCTCTTTGAGGGGAGCTGGTTGGAGCTCCTTCCTGGCCTTCTCTGATCATCCAACACACACTCAACCATTCCCATACTGCCTAGGTGATGTCATGCCCTCCCGTGGCCTCAAGGGGCCATCGCTAGCTGCCTCTGCCCCTACAAGCTTGGCCTCTACCCTGGACGGTTCCTCTGAGCTCCTCCCCTGTGGTGTCCTGGTGTCAGCTCATCTTATCCACTCGGTTGCCATACAGGCCCCACAGCCTCACTGTCTCCCAAGTGAAAATCAGATCTCTATCCTATTCCCTTCCCCCAACTGTTACCCGTGGAGTCTCTAATTCCTGAATAAAAGATCTGTGCAAGTAACTGAGGCCAGCAGGCCCCTCTGTCTCTCCTTCCCAGCCCAGACTCTCTTTGGGCAAAGCTCATTCCTGGCTATTATGCACACCAAACACCAGTCCTTCAATTTGGGGCTGGGGCAAACAGTTTAACTCTCCAGTCTTAGGAGGAGAGGTCTCCCTTGTCGAAGATGGGAGTGGAGGCCAGAGAACGGGGAGATGAAAGTATATCCCAGCCACGTAGGAACATTTCTGCTGGTGCAAGAAACCTACATCAAAGTGGCCACAAGATGAGCTAATAGAAGGTGGATAAATATGAGTCCATGTTTACTGCACTTTATGTGGAATCTTGACCATGTAGGGAGGGAAGGGCCTGCCTGCGCCATTCTCCTGCTCCCACCCCTTTTTCCCAAGCTGAGCAGGAGCCCCCTTGGGTCTTGGGGTTGACTTTATAGCATTTGAGATTCTTATCTCTTCCTTCTAGTCTTTTGAAGTACATGATGACACTCTCTCCTTCCTCTGCCTTTTCCTCTGGGGAAATATAAGAAAGGAATAAAGACTTATTTGTCTGGAAAAAAACCAAGTCCAACTTTTACAAGTAGAGAATAAACTACAAACAACTTCAATCTGATGGTTGACTTTCACTGACAAGAAATTTCCTCCTTTCCTCTCCATCCCCATCTCTCCTTCCTTCCCTCTTTTTCTAAACATCTAGCAGCCTCCTTAACTGCCCTGTAGGCATAGCCCTGGCTAATACCTGTGACTGGAGGAGCTCTCATCCACCCAAGGTAGACATCATTTCACCATGCCAGGATGCAAGCTGTAGGCGAGGCCTGAGGCTCAACAGATCTTGGAATCCCCCTCTAAATGGGTATGGTCTCTGCAGAATTCAGGCTCCCCTTCTAGTCTATTCTTCTGAGGACCATCTCTTTCTATTTTTCCGTCAACACCCTCTGCCCCTCCTCTGACTCCCTCTCCCATCACCGCTACTCCTCCATCCTCTGGCTACCAGTTTTTGCCTCAGTACTAGGTGGCTTTTTACCAGACTGAACCCCTCAGGGTCCAGGCCTGGCTCAAAGCAGGTGCTCAGGACACAAGTATGGGCCACTGGAAGCCCTGTATCGTGGGGAGGGAGCAGGGAGTAGGGCTTCAGGAAGTGTCTGCAGGAGTGACTTCATACAATCCACTACGATTCTGATATTTTAAAACAAATAATATGTGTGACTTTTTAAAATGTCATGTAAAAACACGATTTAACTTGTCTTTAAAATATACCAGGTATTTACCAGGTTCGTACTTGTGAACAAATATTGTCTTCATCCAAACGTTAAGAATGGCTAAATGCCATCATGTTCCCTCCTCCAAAGCTACCCTCTTGGAAAAGACAAACTTGTCCAAAGAGGCTGCCTTAGTCTAGAACCCAAAGGACTTGTCACCTCCATAATTTGGAGACACAGCATGAGCAAGCTTCGCCTGCCACCCCACAGCCCCGCCCCGAGCCTGGCATACTGGGCCATTGCAGATTGGGTGGCAATACTGGCAGACATCTAGTTCTAAACCTTGAGTTTAGAAACATGGGCACTTGCAAATGGCATCTCTGGTTTCTTTCTGTCCTGGAAACGATCATCGTCTGTTCCCTCCAATGCTCACTGAGCATTTGGTGCGTGCCAGCCCCCATACCTGTTACCTAAGACTCAGGGAGGAATATAAGCTGGTTTCTGCCTTCTAGAGCTCACGGGCTGTCAGGTAGACAGAGGAAAACCCAGTCACCACCACATGATGTGCTCATGAAGGGACTGAGCCACGTGCGTTGGCTTGGCAGTCCCCAGTAGCTCAGAAGGGCTGCCATGGGGAGGAAGCATTTTCTTCCGGTGGTCTTTGAGAAACAACCTCTCTACACTGACACCAAGTACAGCAGCACCTGCCTGTGTCCCTTCACCTGAGTGAAGTCTTTGTTTGTCTTTGTTTGTTTTAGGTAAAATTAATTCTTTCTCAGTTCAGAGTGGCCCCTGATTCTGCCATACAAGTGTGTAGTAGATAAGTTCACGTTCAGTGTCGCTACGCCTTTCTGATTTTGCAGTCTTTATTTCCTTCTAGCTCTCACCTTTACAGACTTAAAAATGCTCCACTGGAAACATAGGTTGTTTGCTATTGGAGTTTTTTGGCCTCTGACACCCCTTTGGCTCCTTGCTTGTGCTCCTCAGGTTTCTCTGGGCCTTCTGGGGGGCTGGCTTCTCCTTCCCACCTGCTTTATAGGGAAGACACATTGCTCTTGGCTCAAGGCACCACCCAGAAGCAGAAGGAACTCTCTCCTGGGCAGCCCAGTGACTGGCACGGGCTCAACAGCTTGAAAGCTCCCCAGCCAGAGGAGGTCTGGCACAGATTGAACGGGCTTGTTGGGAAGTACTTGGGGGCCTCAGAATGGCTGAGTGGGCTGGGCCCACAGCAGCAGGGGCTGGCAGGGCTGGCTTAAGTGTTAAGAATAACTCTTTTCTGTTGTTGTTTTTATTAGTGCTTTTTTATTACGAAAGTAATACACTGCCATAAAAATTCAAAGAGTACAGAAAGGAATAAAGAGAAAACTCAAAGCATCTTCCCAGTCAGCCCACACAAACCCACTTCCTAGAGGCAGCAGTTATGATCAGTTTCATGTGAAACCTTTAATATAATTTTTATACATATGCAAATGTAACAAATATAAGAATGCATTTTTTGCAAATTGCTTTTCTTTAAAGGAAAAAAGTATATGCCCATTTTTTAAAAAGTCAAACACTACAGAAAACACAAAATAAAACATAAAAAATAAAAACAAGGAAAAGACAGCTCTCAAAATCCATATCTTAGAAGATAGCAAGTGTTGACACTCTGGAAGGTGTTTCTCAAAGCCTTTGGGCAATTTGACAGAAGTGAAATCACACTATTTACGCTGCCATGTAACTTGCTTTGATGCAAACTGCTATTTCTCTCTTTCATTCAACAATATATTATTGGCATTTTTCATGCCCCTAACTAGAGATCTAAAATCAACACCTCGATTGGCCACATAGTATCCTGTTATAACTTTGGAATGGATCTTCTGATAGAAACTTATCTTGTAACGAGTTTTTTAAAATATCATGAATAATGTTGCAATGAGCATACAGGTACTTAGTTATCTCCCCCTGATGCAGTTACTACCTGAGGATAAATGCCTAGATGCGAGGGTACTGGCAATACAACCCCAAACCACACTGAGCTGACACTTTCTATCCACTGCATTGAGAAAATAGAACACATCTGACAACACCAAGTGTTGGCAAGGATATGTAGCACTGGGAATTGTTTAGGCAGGAAAGTCAGTGTTCTGCTGTCAGATTGAACATGCACATACCCTGTGACCCAGCAATTCTGCCCCAGGATATATTATATAGATGGTTCATGACTTAACAATGGCCCGACTTACGATTTTTCCACTCTACCATGATGTGAAAGCGATACACATTCAGTGGAAACCAAACTTGAAGTCCCATACAACTATTCTGTTTTTCACTTTCAGTGCAGTATTCAATAAGTTACATGAGATATTGAACACTTTATTATAACGTAGGTTTCATGTTAAATGATTTTGCCCAACTATAGGCTAGTGTAAGCATTCTGAGCACATTTAAGGTAGGCCGGGCAAAGCTATGATGTTTGGTAGGTTAAGTGTATTAAATGCATTTTCTACTTAGGGTATTCTGAACTTATGATGCAGTTACATCCCGATAAACTCACTCCACATCTGGGAATGTTAAATGCTGCTGACATGTCCAGTAAAATGCAAACTGAAAACTGATCATTGGATTTAGCAACATAGAGGGGGTTGATGACCTTGACAAGAGCCATTTCTGTGTAGTGATGGGAGTGAAAGAGAAGGGAGGAAGAGGACTCTGAGAAAGTGTAGAGAATTCTCTGAAGGATTGTTGATGTAAAGGGAAGAAGGGGAATGAATGGACAGTAGCTAGAAAGGTGTATGGGGTCAAGAGAAAGGTTTTTTAAAATGGTGGGAAGAATTCCAGCATGTGTGCATGCTGAGCAGAATGATCCGGTCAAGAGGGAATAATTGATGGTGCAGGAGAAAGGGCGAAATGTTAGCAAGATGTTCCTGGGTAGGCAACAAATGGGATTTAGGGCACAAGCAGAAAACCTGACCTTTCATCTGCTTCAGGACACATCGTTCTCTTGTATCAGGATGGGGCAGAATGTGTAGATAATGGTGCTGTGGAGGTAGGGGATGAAGATGTTTATATGCATCTCATTTAATATAATATATATATGTACTATTTTTGTATGTCAGATAATAAAAAGAATTTTAAAATGTTAGCATTGTTGAGTCCAAGGGATACCTCATCATTCATTTTGTGGCATATTTTTAGATCACCACCCAGAAGGTTGCCCTGACTTATCCTCCCACTCTCAGAGCCCCTGGGGCAGAAGAGTGCCCATTTTCCCACACGCCAGGTACCCCAGGGTTTTGCAGATTTGTTTTAAGTTTTACATACCTGAGGCAGGGGTGGAAACAGTTGACTTTCTTTGCATTTCCTTCATATGCTAATTGGTGACCCGCAAATCTTCTTTTGTGATTATCTGTTCACTTCCTTGGTCCTTTGCTGATTTTCCTACTGGGTTGCTTTAAAAGGAGTCCTTTTTTATTTTCGGAAGATTAAGCCTTTCGCTGTCATATGCAGTTCAAATAACTCTTCCTCATTTGTCATTTGTCTAATGACAGTTATGGTGGGTTTTGCCATACAGAAGTTTTTAATTTCTCCATCTTTTATGGTTTCTGGTTTTCATGACATACTTAGAAAGGCTGTCCCCACCCCAGGATTCTTTCTCATACTTTTATGGTTTCATTTTTTTTACATTAAATTTCTGAGCCATCTGGAGTTTATTTTGGTGTGGAGAGTGAGGTAGGAAATCTAGCTTCTTTTTCCAAATGGCCAGTTATTCCAACATCATCTCTTGAATGATACACTTTTAATCCACAGATTCAAAATGCCACCTTGATCACACACTGCATTTGAAACTACACTCTATCCCTCCGTTCATCAATTTGGCAGCTGCTTCCTGTGTGCCTACTCAGGCATCATACTAGCATGAGGTGTGTTTCCTACATCCAGGAGGAAGGGAGAGGAGACACAGGAGACAGCGACCCTGCAGGGTAATAAGTGCTAGGGTGGAAGGCGGTGGAAGAGACACTTAGCTGGGTCTTGGTGGTTAGGGATGACTTCTTGTGAAGGCAATGACCTCTGAACAGACATGAGCATAGTAGCAGTTAACCAGTGCGAGGGACCGCAGTCAGCACTAAGTTCTAGAGACAGAATGGAGGCCTATGTTGGGAATCAGCAGGAAGTCCAGTATGGCTTCCATATGACAGGAGCTTAGAGCGTGAAGAGGCTGGAGCCATAGCAGGTACTAGACTTGGATGGCAGAGGGAATGAGGAGTCTCAGATGGTGCCCCTGTTTCTAGCCTGGACTGCTGGACATGGAGTCACCTTATCACCCAAGCAGGGCAGAGGGGAAGATGGCTCTGGCTGCTTTGCAGAAAGTAGATGCAGGAGTCAAGCGCAGAAGCCAGGAGACTGGGAAGGAGGTGATCGGGGACACTACTGTGTCCCAGGATAGTGGCAGTGGAAGTGGATGGTTTGGAGCTGCAATCAGGACTGGCTGCTGGATTGGACATGGGAGACGAGGGAAAGATCAGTTAAACACCTAGGCCTTGGGAGGTGCCTTTGATGATGAAGAAAACTGAGGGAGGAGAGGTTTGGAAGGTGAAGGATGGTGGCACAAGAGTTTGTTTTGAACATGTTTCATTTGGATTGACTCAGACATTCATGTGGTGATTTCAAGTAACAAAAGTAGCAATAGTAAACATTCACTGAGCACCACCATGTAACAAACTCCATTCCAAGCACTTTATGCACGCCATCCCATGTCATCTCACAACAACCTATGAAGGTAGATGCTGGCACTCTCATCTCTATTGTACAGGTAAGAAATGGAAACTCAGAGAGGGCAAGTAACGTGCCCAAGGTCACACAGCTATTAATTGGCACAGCTGGGATTTGCACGCAGTCCAGTTCCAGAGTCTGTGCTCATAGCCTTCATGCCTCCAGATAAGTGGGTGTCAGGGAAGCCAAGAGAAGCAAGTTTTTCCAGAAGGGGAAAGTGGAGTGATCAACTGTGGCCACGGGGTAAGTGAAGGCAGAAATGTGAACACTGGGTTTAGCAACATGGAGATGACTGGTGACAAGAATGATGTGAAGGGAGTGGTAGGGTTGAAGTCCTGATCCGGGTGAGTTTATGAGAGAATGGGAGGAGAAGGAGAGACAGTGAGTCTAGACAACTCTTTTGAGGAGTTTTGCTCAATAGCAAAGTGGAGAGATGGGGCAGTAACTAGAGGTGGGAGTGTGGTCAGGTGAGATTCTTTTTTTTTTTTTTTTATGTTGATGGGAAAGCTCCAAATGAAACAGACATTTTTATGATGTAGAAGAGAAAGGGATAATTATAAAGAGGGAAGAGTCTATGAAGGGGAGAAGGAGTGGAATCCAGAAGTTTATATTGGCACCATTCTGCACAGTTGCGTGACGTCTGCCAGCATGGTTCTTTGCCTTGGGGCAAGCATGAAGAATATAGACATTTAGCTTTGTCCAGATTTGATGCCATTATCATCAGGTGGAGGTGACAAAGAGACAGTAGGGTGAGAAGATTAGGATGTTCACAAGACAGCGGTTGAGTAAGCTGGATAGGGAGGGAAATGAAGAGAGGAAAGGACTAATGGATGGATAGAAAGTGGAGCAGCCAACAGTTGGGAGCTTGAAAGATAGTTGTCACAGAAGTGGTTGAACGAGCCTGCTGGAAAGAGAGGAGGTTGGGGCAAGAAGTTGGAAAGCCTGCATTCTCTATTCTGGAGGAAGCAACAGCAGGCAGGCTGCACCTGTGGGAAGAAGCGGCTGTGGTGGAGCTGACAGGGTCTTGGGAGATGCCTGGGGAGCCTGAGGGTTGGGGATAGCTAAGCCACAAGCATGGATGCTCAAGTCACACACTCACTACCACACCTCACTGCTCTCACCCTCACCCTCCCAGTCACTTTCTCACATCCAGGGCAAAGACCTGCCTGAATGTCAGGTGGGGGATGGTGTTGCCAGTTGGCCTGGGCCTCAAAGCGGGGAGGTTTTCATCCAATGGCAAACTGGACTATTCTGAGGTAGCTGGGGTGTGGGAGAAGGAAGAGCCTCCTCTGGATTGAGCTGCCGGGAGGGTGCCTGGCTTCAGTTTAGGAGGAAGTGGATAGCTCCCTCCAAGAAGGGCAGCATACGGGGTGGTGCAATCCTAGAACTTTCTGTGATGATGGACATGTCCACTATCTGTGCTGTCCAACACAGTAGCCACTGGCCACATGGGGCTATTGAGTACTTGAAATGTGGCCAGTGTGACTGAGGAGCAGAATTTCCTATTTTATTCCTTTGTAATTCACTGAAATTTAAATAGCCACATGTGGCCAGTGGCACCTGCAGTAATCAGTGGATTTCTAGAGACATGTGCTGGTTACAGGTTACAGAGCTGCAGTCCCCAAGGCCTGGGATGGGACAGGTCAGGGAAGAAGGAGAGGAGGAACAGACGGCACAATGCCAGGAAGGCTAGAGTTATTTGGTCGAGTTCAAGGTCTCCAAGTACAGGTTACTTGGGCCAAATGCAATCAACAGGAGCCAAATGCATCCCCCAGCCAGGCTGGTCCAATCCTTTTTGATGAGAGCCAGCCCCTTCCCCCATGCTGAGAAAATTAGAGTTTTCATCAAGTGAGGCTCTGACCAGCACCAGCGTGGGCAGAAGAAGGAGAAAAGCAGCAGGTCTGACTCCAAAGGTCGGGGACCACAGTCCTGCTCAGTTGAACAAAGGGGCACCCTCTGAGCTGTTCTCCCCTCTAATCTCCAAAGGCTGCTCTCCATGAGGAAATCAAGGCAGCTAAGCACCCAGGGAGGTTTCTGGGAAAAACTAATAAAGAAGCATACACCCTTTAAGAGGTGAAACCCAGTAACCTTTCCTCTCCTGTGTGAAGAGGACTTGGATTTGCAATGGTGTTTTAGGGATCCACTGCATTTCCTCTTCCCAGGTGGGCATTTCCCAAGCCAAGGGCAGTGCCCAGCCGAAAGGAACATGGCTGGGCATGGTGGCTTATGCCTGTAATCCCAGGCATAAGCACTTTGGGGGGCCAAGTCAGATGAGTTGATTGAGACCAGGAGTTCAAGATCAGCCTGAGCAAGACGGTGAAACCTCATCTCTACAAAAAATTAGCCAGGCATGACGGTGCGTGCCTGCAGTCCCAGCTACTAGGCAGGCTGAGATGGGAGGATTGCTTGAGCCCAGGATGTTGAGGCTGCAGCGTGCCTTAATTGTGCCACTGCACTCCAGCCTGGGTGGCAGACTGAAAAAAAAGAAAGAAAGACAGAAAGAAACAAATCCGCAACTCTCAGAGCCAGACATACCCTCTGGTTGATGTAGTTTCAGCTCCCTCAGCCAGTGGTTTAGCCAGGCCAGGCTTAGCAGGGCCCCAGAGTCGGAGCTCCCTCCCTCGCAGGACAGATCTAGCTGCTCGGAAGTTAGCGTTCACCTGCAGCCTGCATCTCTCTGCCAGACCTCCCAGCCTGGGGCCCCAGAGAGGTCTGGGCGGGGGGTGCTCACAGACCCCAACACTGACTCTGACCTTCCCATTTCTTGAGCATGTGGCAGCTTCCACACCTTTCCTCTTCCAGGCGCACACTCACAATGCCCACTGAGCACCAGCCCTGCCAGAGGGTCCTAGGAGCCTGGGCTGCTTCTGGGGCAGCAGCAGGGCCCCTGGGGGGCGGGGTTGGGCCCAGCTCTGGGGGAGGAGCTCCCAGCTGAGGCCAGGCAGCCTCCAGAGTCTCCAGGCTGAGGACCGCGGGGGCCCTCGGCACGGCCCCTAGCCGGCAGTGGCTGAGCTGAGCTTGGGGGGATGAGGGGGCGCTGGGCAGGGAGCCCACTGTCTCCTTCTCATGGCTTCCCTTCCTCCTTATCCCAGGAGCCTCCCTGCCGGCCAACTGTACTAAAACTCCGGAAAACCATGGCGGGGAGGTTTTCCAATTAGAACATTCTTTTTCCGACCTGTGGATGATTCTTAAAGCAGCAAAAAGCCATTCTTCAGGGCATGCAGGGAGTATCTGCCAGCGAGGCCTTGGCTCCACTCGCGCACTCGTGCTCAGGAGGCCTGGCCTGGGGCTGCTTCAGAGCCACAGACAAAAGGCAGAGCCTGTGTTGTGGGGCATCAGGTCACACAGACCAAGACTGATGGCTGAGAGTTTCCTGGGCTCATTCGAACCAGTAGATTCAAACGGCAGTGGGGATCCAGGCTACAGGAGTGGCAGATGTCAGACCACCTCTCTCCTTGCTTTGTGACAAGGCCACTGCTCCCAATGAGACCACTGTTCACACAGCAAACAATCCCCAGGCATGGCTGCTGTCCCTTGGAGTAGAACTGGGCTGCCTCCTCCCCCAAACTGGGAGCCGCAACAGGCCGGGACAGGGTCTGACTGGTCTCTGGCCAGGGTTGGGGTGGCAGTGCAGTGGGGCAAGTAAGAATGTGTGTGTGTTCCAGAGAGGGGGACCACAACCCCGTAGCTTGGAGTGCAGGCTGAGAACAGGGGGAGAGGAGCAGCCACTCCACATGCTGAGAGGCTGGACCAGCTCCTAGCAGGAGAGCTGGTTACAAACACAAGGGCCTGGCCTCACGGGTTCGGGGCTCAAAGGACCCATCCTACCTGCAATCACACCTGGGGACCCCTGCCTCCAGGGCATCCACCCTGCTTGGAGTCAGCAGAGTCACCCAGCAAGTGTAAACCGGTTGAAGAGCTTAAGAGGATGAGGTGGCAGGGCGGGCCCCGGGAAGGAGGGGATTAGGGATCAAGCAGGAGCCCAGCCCTCCCCGCACATGAACCTGAGCACCCCAGCTTCTCTCCAGCTGGGCAGGGGCTCCATCCAGAGCAGCTGGAACCCCAGGTTCTAAGCCCAGCTCTGCCTCAGACTAGCTGTGTAATCCTGGCAACATCTTGTCCCTCTGTGGGCCTCTGTTTTCCCATTTGTACAACTGAAGTGTTGAGGTTGCCTGCCTGTCTTCAGTCCCCTCTAGCTGAGGACACTGCCTGGGGGAGCTTTGCGGCCTGACAGCTTTCAGGGCCCAACCCCTCTTTCTCCCCCTCTAGCCTGGTAACTCTTTTTGTTTTCTGTATTTTTTGTAGAGACGGGGTCTCACCATATCGCTCAGGCTGGTCTTGAACTCCTGAGCTCAAGCGGTCTTCTCTCCTTGGCCTCCCAAAATGCTGGGATTACAGGCGTGAGCCACTGTGCCCACCTCCTAGCCTGGGAACTCTGGGGCTAGATCACCTTGCTTGAGTTCTCTTCCCAGCCCTGGAGATCAGAATGGGGCCTCCCCTGGAGCTGAGGAGTGCTGCTGGCCAGTTCTTTCCCAGCAGCCACCTGCCGTGCTACCCATCTCATTGCTTAGATGCAGCCTCCCAGAGACGCTGCCTCCACGGCCTGCTTGTGAGCTATGGCTTCTCCAGCACAGGGCTCACCACCTGCTACTCCCTGCCTCTACCTTTCAGCCTCTTGCCTGCCCAGACAGCCCAGCCTGGCCCCACCCTGAAGCCCCTACCTCTCACTTAGAGCCTTGCTGAGGGCCTGCTTGTTGGTGGGAAGAGACTGTCCAGTCCCCTGGAGGTGGCACTGCTGCCTAAGCTGGAGGGACTTCAGGAGAACTCTGCCAGAGCCAGGGGGTGGGAGCTGGCCTGTCTTGGAGCTGCGGATGGGTGGAAAAGTGCAAGAGATGTGAATAGGAAAGGATAGGGCCAAGCTCAGGCCAGGTAGGGACAGAGCCCAGCCTGGAGGCAGGCAGCAGCCACCACAGCCTTGGCCTAGAACTTGAGGGAGGTCTAAGGGAAGGTTCATGAAGGAGATAATGTTACTGCTGAGAGAAAGTGGAGGCCACCTGGTGTCCCTGGGGAGGAAATGTCATTCCAAACAAAGGGAGCATCTTGTGCAGCGTCCTGGTGGTATTTGAGCACTTGGTCTATCTGGGTACATGTCATTTGGGCATGTCTGGTGCTTGAAGAGGCTGAAGAAGCCAGCAGGTGCCTGAAGCCTGGCTGAGGTGACTAGAGGTGCCCTGGCAGGCGTGGAAGTGGAAGACTGTTGGGGCAATGGACAGGTGGGCAGGGCAGGGCAGGGCAGTTACCATTCAAGTCAAACCCGTTTGCAGGCAAGATCAGCTGCAGGGCCTGGCAGCCTGGCAGGGAGGGAGGGGTTCAGGGAAGGCTGATCTCTTTGGCTGGAGCAGTCGTGACAGATCGGGCCTGGGCAGAGACTGAGTCACCTGGGACATGGGAAGAGCTTGAGGCCCTGGGGCGGCCCAGCCTGGGGCAGTCCTCACTTGCTGGCCGTGCCGTTGGACACCACATTTGCTCATGCTCTCCAGCTGGGCCCCCCACCCCTGACTCAGGGCTCTTGAACAAGTTTGCCTTTTCCCTCTTCCTTGCCCTACATCTCACCCATCATGATGTCTTCTACCTTCTACCCTTTCAAACTAGGGGCTCTTGAAGAGGACTGGGACCCAGACAAAGAGTATGACACAGCCTAAGTCATACAGTAAACATGTTTAGGAGGTAAGATGCCAAGCCAAATCCATGGCCACCAGTAGCCACAGTGGAGGAGGGGAGGTGTTAGTTGCTGGCCACCAGACAGGGGCATACAATATTGGAAGCAGAAAAATGCTTGTTGGCAAGAGACGGACATGAACAGAAGTGACTTTATATACAACCCCCTAAGCACACACAGGGTCGCCTTCTCCCTATCTCATGAACCCCAAGAAGAAAAGGATGAGGACAGCTTCCACAGCCTCACTCACCCATCCATCACTTCCTTCTGCAAATTCTTCGGATGCCCTGTGCTGGTCTCCGTGACCCAGTGATGAATCAGAAGGGGCCCTGCCCTCCCAGAGCTCAGGATCTAGAACAATAGAGGGTGACAGCCACTATGCTGGATTGATGTCATCTGAGGGAACTAAGGGGTGCACAGAAGGAAGTGATCAGCTCGACTGGGTGGCAGGCAGGGGAGGCTTTCCGGACACTGGGTGGAGGCTTGAAGAATGACTAAGAGCTCACTAGCCCGACGGGGATGAAGAGCATTTTAGGGAGTCCGAGGAGCAGGAGCAAACACCCCAAGGTGAGCGCCATGTGATGTATTCAGAAGGCAATGGAAAAAGGCCAGTGTGGCTGTAATGTATTGAACAAAGGGAAGAGTGGCTGGACCTGCAGGGATAGGTCGTCTCAAGGAGTCTGGCTTTTACCCTGAGAGCAATGGGAAGCCATGGAGGAGTTGCAAGCAGGAGAGCACCTGATCATATTGACACACGTGAACTTTTAACCTGACCTCCGTGTAGAGACTGAGGGAAAGGAAGGCAAGACCAGAGGCAGGGGGACACCAGCAAGGAGGCTGGTCTTCGGGGCCAGGTCTGGACTAGGGTGGTGGCAGCAGGCACAGGGAGAAGTGGGTGGACTGGAGGGCCATGGAAACACCACATTGGCAGGCCTTGATGAAGGAGAAGCAGCTGGTCCATTCTTTTGAGCCTACCACCCTGGTAGGCCAACTCCTGGCCAAGTCCATGCCATTTCTTGGGCTGGCTTAATTGTCTCCCTGTTTGGGAGGCCGTGGGGTGAGGGGTCTTTCCTCCATGCTCTCTCCATCCTTAGCCCCAGCCCAGGGCCTTGCACACAATAAAGCACTCGGTGAGCACCAACGCGTGACACAGGTACATCAAACCGCATTGGCTCTGGGAGTCTGGCTGTATCTCGTCGCCCAGCCTGGGAGATAGCCCCGTTTGCTGTGCCTTGTGAGCCCCGGGTCCGTCCCAGGATGGCCTTCCACGATGAGCGGCTCCCTCACTCTTCTCCTCCTTTCCTGCCTGCAGGACTTCCTGGATGATCTCAGCCGCCAGCCCCCCGCCCCCCTCCCCGCCCCTGTCTGGGATCTCCATCTGTAAAATGGATCTAGGAACGGTAGTTCTCGACTGAATTAACCCGACAGCATCTGTGGAAGTCGTTGGCCCTGTGCCGGGGCCAGATCGCGCAACTAGGAGCGGGGGCCCTTCACGTGGCGGAGGCTTCCCGGCCTGGGGGCCACGGGCCCGGAGGAATTTGCCTGGAAGTTTTCCATCACGGCAGAGCCTTCTGGAGCTCGCCCCGTGCTCGACAAGGGGAGCCCCAGACTTGATTTCTCCAGCAGCCCCGCGGGGCGGGGCCGAGAAGGGGCGGGCGGGCGGAGGACGCTGGCGGGAGAATGTGCGGAATGTGCCAGGCGCCTCTACCTACCCCAGGAGGGGCAGAGGAAGGGGCCGGCCGAGGGGAGGGGCGAGGGGCGAGGCTCCGGGCGGCCGGAGAAAACCTGTTTGTTCTCCTGCGGGCGGAGCCCAGTCCGCGCCTCCTCGCCTCCCTGCGCGCTCCCCGCTGTGCACCGCGCCCCGCGCCCCGCGCCTGCCTCCCCGGCCCGGCCCGGCCCGGCCGGGCGCCGTCCACCCGAGGGAGCCCGCGCCCTGCGACTGCCCGACCCTCCACCCGCCCCACGAGCCGGGCACCGGTGCCAGGTAGGGCTGTCGAGTCGCCATTGGATGCGGCCCTGCTTGGAGGCAGTGGGGGGCACCCAGTCCGTGCCCAGCTGGGGACAAGTCAGGGCCTCAGTTTCCCCATCCATAACCCTTACCAGCTCCAAGCATCTCTCTTCGGGTTCCCCCCGGGAGTCAGTGGATTTCTGGTTTTCGCTGTGAGTGAAAAGACTGACAGGCAGAGGAGGCCAGCGTCCCCTACAGAGGCAAGTGTCCCCCTTGCCAGCCTGATCCCTCTGTCTTGCCCTTTAGGAAAGACACGGTTTAATTGTTAGTAAACGGCGAGGGGCCAGGATGCTCTGAGAGTTGACTGCAGGCCTTTAAGAATCAGGGAATCTCATATCCCTCCGTCCCCCTGTGCCCATTTTATAGATGAGGAAACTGAGACCCAGAGGCTGGCTCACCCAGAGGATCCCCTCAATCGCCCTGGGGCCTGTGAGGTGCATGTGCTGGGTACAGGGCAATCTTGGGGAGGGCCATGAGGATGGTGGCTGCTCACACTCAGACAGAAGGCGCCGAATCAGGTGTCACTGGGTGTTATCGACAGGATCGGCACTGCACCAGCTCTGTGGCTGGATTGTTTTGATGGGGGCAGAGGGAGCCAAGAGTCTGTCCTCTTTGGAAAGGCAGAGGGATACCTTGCCTTACAAAAAGGCCGAAAGCTCAGGTGCTCCTGCCTGATCTGCCACTTCTGAGCTGGGGACACCTGGGTACTCTGTCGGTTTAAGGGGGTGACACGTCAAGCTGCCTCCCACCCAGGGCTGCTGGGGACTCAGATAAAGTAGGTGGTGGGTGTGTCCCGGCTTTGGGACATCTGAGGCATGGTAGGAGTTGTGTTCTTGCTGAGCCGTCGGCACGAAGCCTTGGCATCATGGGAGGCCCCAAAGCTGTGAGCCCCGAGAGAGGGCCTCTCACACCCCATCCAGCAGTGCTTGAGGCTTCAGTACCTGGACTAAGTCCTGCCTTGGTCTCATGGCCCTTCAGACTTCTGGCTGTCGTACCTGGCTGGGGGCGGGAGGCAGGGGTGCACAGGTTGATAGGCCTGAACAGAGCTGCAGAGGTCCTGCCTTCCCAGGGCCTCCGCTCCTCATCTGAAAAACAAGGGGCAGCTCAGAGGCCAGCAAGTGGCCAAGACACAGATGCACAGATGAGGGGCCAGCCTTCTGGCAGGCCTTGGTGCCTCCGCTGTTCCCCTCATCGCTCCCAGGCCACTTCAGGATGGGAAGGAACAGATCCCTCTCACCTGCCCCTCCTTCCAGCAATTCCCAGCCCCTGGCTGGATGCTGTGCATTCAGCCGTGTGGAGCTGATGGAAGGCACTCAGTGCAGGGCCAGACACGCAGCAGGTGCTCAAGATCTGTTCATTTCCATCCTCTGGACACTCATGACTCAAGCAACAGAGGTGGCCCAGGACCACTTAGGATGTTGCAGCTCCGAGTAGCATGAAAACATTAGGGGTTCCTCAGTCCTGGAGCAGCGAGGCACCCCTGGCTGGGAAGATCAGGGAAGGCTTCCTGGAGGCGAAGGGCTTGGAAGCAGGAGGAGGAGCTCGGCAGCCACCAGGTCAAGGCCCGCACGTCCTTTGGAGCTGCTGGAGTCTAACCTCCCCGTTACTCCTGAAAGATCATAAACCACTTCTTGCTGAGCTCCTGCATATGGGGGCCCACAGAGAAATCAGCTCCATGCCTTGCCCTGAGGAGTGACAGAGAGGCCATCTGTCAGTAAGAAGTTGCCATCTGAATCCAAATGGCAGCAGTGCTTGTCCACCTCACTTCCTGCTCAGCTCAAGTCCAGACTCCAGAAAAAGCCTTTCCCACGTGAGGCCAGTGATGCCAGGGGCAGCCAGCGCCTCAGCTCAGCCTCCCTCAGCCTGACTTGTGCTCCTTGTCTTCCTGCCCAGTGTCCCCAAGGCCTCCTGAGATCTGGCAGGGCAGGGACTCTGGGTCCCTAGCACTGGGCCCAGGACCTGGCCACGATAGGCATCGGCACTTGTTCCCTGAACTGTCTTCAGTTGCATGCCAAGCAAACTCCCCCAATTCTGGCTCGGTGCATTCTGGAAGCCAGAAGCCTGCCTTCCTCCTTCCCTACTCAAGCTTCCACAGGTGACTGCCCCCTTTGGTGCGGGTTTTGCTTCAAGCCACAACTTATAAGGTGCCAGGTCACATGTAACACAAGCTTTCCTTCTGTTGCTGAGCCCTGAGGCTGCCCCCACTGCCAGTCCCTGGCGGCATGGGACAGGACCAGTGCCAGAGAGGAGAGCTGCTCTCCAGTGCGGCAACCCCTTGCAGTCCGGGCCTTTGGGCTCTCATGTTTAGGGTCAGTCCAGGGACTTTGCATTCGTTACCACTGTGCCCATAGTGAACCGGCTGATGCCAAGACAAGGGCAGTGCCATCAGGGGACCAGTCCCTGAGAGATGCTCAGGAGAGGTTGCCATCATTGCTTCCAAAGGCCGGGAAGAGGAGGAGGGGCTGAACTGTCCCACACCTGGTCAGGTGTGTGGCAGGTGAGGGTGGCACCTTCATAGCCTAGTGGTTAAGAGAATGGCTCAGAGGTCAGCCTGGGTTCAAACCCCAGCTCAGCCACCATCCAGTTGTGCAAAGTTCGGCCCTTCATGCAACCCCTTGAGGCCTCTGTTTTCTCACCAGTACTGAAGGGTGGCTAAAGCCAGGAGCACCTGCTGCACTGGGTGCCTGCAAGTGCTAGGTTCCTGGCACAGAGGTGCTCTGTCACGGAAGGTAGCTGAGCCAGGACTATGGTGCCCTCCTTCAGGGCTGTGGTGGCAAGGAGTGAAGTGGGACTAGGTGGAGAGAGAGATGCTGACTGGGATGTGGGCCCCTACCTGAGGAAAACAGTTTAGAAATTACTGCTGATGATGCAAACAGTATCTACCCACATTTAAAGTGACTCACTAAAGAACACTTAATTCTTAGGGTGATTTCTCATGCCTACTAAAGTCTGACTCGCTTTCTTTTTTGTTTTCACTTTTTTTTTTTTTTTTTGTTAGAGCTGGGGTCTCGCCTTGTCACCCAGGCTGGTGTACAGTGGCTAGTCACAGGCATGATCATAGCACACCGCAGCCTCCAACTCCTGGGCTCAAGCGATCCTCGTGCCTCAGCCTCCCGAGTAGCTGGCACTACAGGCGAGTGCCACCATGCCAGCACTGTTGTTACTTTTTATCTTTAATTTTTTTTTTTTTTACCTTGAATTGATTTAAAACTCATAGAAAAGTTGTACGAATCGTGCAGAGAACTCCTGAAGCCTTATCTGAATTCCCGCTATTAACATTTTGCCACATTTCTCATTAGCTTTCTTCACTTGTAGCCTTTGGATGGGTCAGAGGGTGGGCAGGGCTGTTGTCAGTTCATTTTTCCAAAGGGAAACTGAGGCACAGAGAGGGACTTGCTCAAGTGCCATTGATTAGAAACTGAGCCAGATTAACTTCTCTCAGGGACAC
Organism: Homo sapiens; assembly: GCF_000001405.40. NCBI lineage: Eukaryota > Metazoa > Chordata > Mammalia > Primates > Hominidae > Homo > Homo sapiens. The sequence continues at coordinate 516,901 of NW_025791818.1, forward strand.
ATATTGATGCATTTGGCAGGTGTTTTCTTGATCACTTTCTGTGTTGGGCGCTGGGGCACAGAAATGACTGAGAACTGACAGCAAAGTGGGAGGGACAGGTCTGAGTGGAGAAGAGACTGGAAAAGGAAAAGACAAGAGGCCCTGTGGGTATCACTCTCAATGTCGGAGGTGGAATGCAGGAAGGAATCTGCAGCTTAAGCGTGTCTCCCAGGGAATTTGACTGCCGAAGGGTCCCAGAGGCCACTTTCAGAAACACGGTCTAGGCTTTTCCTGTTGGGAGTGTGCTCATTTCTCACCTCAAAAGGGAGCTAGGAACTGGGAGGGTGCCTGCCTGGAGCAGGGAGGTGGGTCCAGGCCAGCCAAGAGAGCAATTCCTCACCCACTCATTAACGCCCGCTGAGCCATCCCTCTTCCCGCAGAGCTGCCCTTGGGGCTGCTGCTGCTGAGATGGCGGCAGAGCTCTGAAGCCACGCCCTGGGTCAGAGAGGAGACATAGCCTCTGGGGCCAGTGGGCAAGCCCTAGGCTGCTGGTGGTTGCTGGCGGTGGTCCCTGGCCTTGGCCCCATCTGTAGGCCCAGCTCGGGCACCCAGTCCGGGCCCCTTGGTCTAGTCCCTGTGATCTTTGGCTCAGCACGCCACTTTGTGATGACTAGGTCAGTTTCCCAGAGAGCTTGATGTGGCGAAGAGTTGCTATGGAGAGAGCAAGCACAAGGATTTTAATCACAAGAACCGGCATCCCTGGTGAAAATGCTTACATCAGGCAGTGCCTGCTTTAAACTGAAATAAAAATAAAAATAAAAATAAAACCCAAAACCCCAAACCAGGACTTGCTTCACCACTTGTGCCAGCGATCCCTTACTCATGCTTTCATTCCTTTGGGCCTGAGCCTGGGCACCTCCTTGGGAAATGCAGTGCTCTGGCAACATTCCGCTAGGCCGATCCCCCCAGCACCCAGCCTGGCGGTTAGGGCTCTGAAAATGCTTGTTGCATACATGGCAGTGTGATCCTGGGCAAGTGCTTTCTTCTCTCTGGACTTCCTTATTCTTATCCAAAAATAGGGGCAGTGTTAGAGGTAAGGGTGGGGTTGAGGGGACTCTGGGTCTAGAGTGGGCAGAAAGATGAGAAAGAGGGTTGTGGGAGGGGAGAAGGAGGATAGGGAGTCAGAGCTTTGGGGGAAGTGGGGAGGCAGCGGGCTCTTTCTGTTCCTTTTGCTCCTAACTAGTGATCACCTGCATCTAGGACAGAAGGAATTAGCTTTGGCTGATGTTAGTCAAGGGCAAGAAGGAGTGACTTCCTGTCACTGGCCTGCTCTGGCAAAGACTGAATGGATGGCAGCAGTGGTGTGTGTGTAGGCGGGGGTGTTCCTAGGGGAGAGCGAAAGAGGGTAAAAGAAAGTGGCCGAGTGCGGTGGCTCACGCCTGTAATCCCAGCACTTTGGGAGGCTGAGGTGGGTGGATCACTTGAGGTCAGGAGTTCGAGACCAGCCTGGCCAACATGGTGAAACCCCGTCTCTATCAAAAATACAAAAATTAGCCAGGTGTGGTGGCAGGCGTCTGTAATCCCGGCCACTAGGGAGGCTGAGGCAGGAGAATTGCTTGAACCTGGGAGGTGGAGGTTGCAGTGAGCCAAGACTATGCCACTGCTACTCCAGCCTGGGTGACAGAGCGAGACTCGTCTCAAAAAAAAAAAAAAAAAAAAAAAAAAAGAAAAGGAAAAAAAAGAAAGAAAGAAAGTAGGGGGAGAGGGAGAGGTGCTGTGGAGATTGGAGTGTGGGCTCCATGACCTCTGAGCCTCCTCTGATCTCACTGGCTGCCTTGTCTGCAAATGGGACTAGCATCTCTGCATGACTGGGATTGGCTGAAGACCACATTGGTTCCCTGGCTGCAGAGACAACTGCAGGATGAGGGGTACAGAAGCAGCCAGGGCCCTACAAGAGGGTCCCTGCCCAGCCCTCTGTTCTCCACAGAGACATCTCCAAGGGCCCTTGAAGCCAAGCCAGCCCTGAAATGGCCCAGTTCCCTGAACGGTCGCTTGTATCTGGCTCTCTGAGAACGAGAAAATGGGCGCATGAAAGCCAGGAGGAATCCCGAGGCCCCAAGGAGCGGTGGGTGGCCCAGCTGCCTTCTCCCCTCCTCCTCACCCCCAGCGCCCCACCACCTTGGGAAGGAGCTGGCCTGCCTTAAAAGTCTGCCTCCCAGGGCCCCTCCAGTGCAGACGCCGAGAAGTCTAGATGCTGGGGTGTTAGGGGTGGGATGGGGAGAGGTGAAATTCCAGACTTTCATGCAGAAGTCATTTACCTGTAAAGCACATTTACAAATACCACCCCCGCCATGCGTTCTTTTTCCATATTATATTTTCCCCTCTGCAACTCAAGTCTTTTTCAGCTCTTTTTTTTTCCACTTGCTGAGCCTTTTTCCTGCCACCCTGTTGGCCTCCAGGCGAGAGCCCCTGGGACTGGAGCATCCCAGGCAGGTCGTGCACTCTGGCTCTGGCAAGAGGGGCCCAGCCTAGGCCTCCTGGGAGCTGCACGCTGAGCAGCAGACTAGGAGGCTCAGACGGGATCCAGCTGCTCAGCCCTGCCCACGGTCCCTAAATCACCGTTGAAGTGCCCCATCCCCCTGGATCTCAGCAACTCCTGGAACAGCAGCTACAGCCGCTGCAGCGGTGCCTGTGGCGGTGCCTGCTCCATCCCCTTCCCAGAGGAAAGCAACCTGTCTGCTGACTGTTGCCTTGCCAGCTGCTGAGACTCCAGTGCAGGAGACTGGGAATCAGAATGTCCTGATTCACCAGACCTGGCCACAGGAGGCTGCTTCATCAAATGGAACGTTTCATCATTCCAACCCTTTTGGTCCAGAAAATCAGCACCCGCACCGGCTTAAATCAGCCTGGGTCCAAACTGAGTCAGCCAAGTGCGTGCCTTGAGAAAGGACGGGGTGAGGGCATCTGAGTGGGGGTGGAGGTGGTGCTTCCTGACTTTATAATTCCTCAGGCTTGTCCTTGCACTTCCCATGGCAGCCTCCAGGGGGAGTCTGTGCCACAGCCAAGGCTCTCCCCACTGCGCTAGGCTTTTGACCTTAGCCCCCTCCCCGGGAAGTATCATTGCTTGGGGTCCTGTGGCCTTGGTGATGACCGGAGGGGCTGCACTGAAGCCTACACCTTCCTCACACGACCAGGTGCAGGGGCCAGGGAGCATTTTGAGAATGGGGCTTCCTTAAGCCCATTCCCCCTCCCATGGGCACAGAGCATTCTCTTTTACCTCAAAGTTTAGAAGTGAAGGTCAGGGAGGGTGAGTGACGCGTCCAGTGACTAAAACCCAGGTCCTTGGACTCCTCGTCAGTACTCCTTCCTTTGCTCCAGAGTTGGAAGAGCCAGCATGGATGTGTGGCTTTGTGGCCTTGACCAAGCCCTCCACATCTCTGACGGCACCGCTGTGCCCGTCTCATGACATGACAGATGATAAGGCATGGCTGGCTCTGCGCCGGGGCCTCCTGAACATGTCATGCCCCTACTACCCTCTCAGCATCTGTTTCTGCTGCCCCATCTGGCTCAGGGCTGCAGTCTGGCCGCAGAGAGGGAAGCTCTCTAAGGAAGGAGAATGGGCTGGGAGAAGCCACCTGCTGCCCCTTGTTTAGCAGGCTGCATTCCCTAGCAAGCCAGCTCTGACTATCTCAGTGTCGCCCTTCTCCTGGTCACCCAGACCGCCCTGTTCCTGGGGCAGCTCATGACACTGCGAGGGGTTTGTGAAGGGTCTTTCGTGGGAGGGCCCTTACTCAGAGCTCACAGGCATTTGCTCGAAAGACAGCAAAAGAGGACCTAAGACATGGGGACTTTTCTTTGAGTCTTTTTCCTGACACTAGGTCCAGTGGAGGCTCTTTGCCCAAATGGAACATTTACAGTGAGAAATGGACAGGAGCCTCGACACCCCCACCCTATGCAGAATTTGACCTCCACCCCTATTTTACCAAGGCAAGCCCTCCAGCAAATGAAGCTGTCAGACAGGCTTGGGGGGGGGGCGGGGTCACAGCCTGGGAGGGAACTGCCTCCCTCTCACCCCTTGGTGCTGGTGCTGGTGGTCCCCAGGTTGAGTTGGACCAGAATGGAGGGGTGGAGGGACTCCCCTCCAGGGGACTCCCCTCCCCTCCAGGGACTCCCCTCCAGAGTCCCTCCCCTCCAGGGACTCCCCTCCAGGGGAGCTACCTGGGCTGGCTGGGCTCTGGGGCTTGGGCAGCCTGGAGCCTTGGGTTTGTAAAGCCCAACTCTGGCTCTTGTAGGAGGACTGGGGGGAAAGGTGTAGCAGCTGGGGTCACCCTTGCACATGTGTTTTTCCATGGTTTGGTCATTGCCACCCTTATCGAGTGGTAGGGAACCCAGACACCATGAGGGGAGAAAGGATTTGCCCAGGGCAGCAAAGCTGGGATGAGTCTCCTTCCCAGAGACCAGCCATCTTCTCTGAGGGTTCCAGCAGGCATGAGCCCCAGCAGGTATCTAAGCTGAGGGATCAGCACTGCCTGGGTCCGCCCATCTCTAGGAGCAAGTTCTTGGGAGACAAGGGAGTTATCCCTTCACCACTTACCTCATGACCAGATGGGAGTACTTATGTTTCTGCTGGAGTGATGGGGGCAGGCCTATGTGCTGGTCCCCAGCTATATTCTGGGCCTCTGCCTCCATTAAAGCTCCTTGTCCCAGAGCCACGTGAAAGTGCTTGCAGACAGAGCTTTCCTGAAACACAGCCAGAGGTTTCCTAAAACATAGCAATCAGCCTCTGCAGTGGGCAGCCCAAGTCTTGATGGCTTCATCCACTTGTACTTGACAGATCCATATTTGGTCCCTGTACTTGACTGCAGGGGCAGCACTCTGGGCTGTGTCCCCCTTCTTGCCCTGTCCAGCTGTTTCTTTATGCTGACTCCTGACCCACCCCAAAGGGGTCCACACAGATCTGAGCTGTGAGTGATCCCTGTGAGCCTAGCTGAGGTTGGCACACGTGGGGTGGCAGAGCTGGGTGTCTGCTCAGCTCCTGGATGCAAAGCATCCCAATTCACCTTTGGGAAAGAAGCCCTTCTGCTTGCACCTCTGCCTGTGGCACACCTGCTCCTGCTTGTGCATGGCGCCCAGTGCCCAGCACACATGCACTGAGACAAGCCCTGACACCTGTGCCCTCTGGCTGCATCTCATCCATGAGCAGCGATATTCAGTGCTCCGGGAAGGCAAGGCTGAAGGCGTTTTGCTCCCTTGCCCTCCCAGTTTGCTTAGGAGGCCCTGCCTGGCGTCCTACTTCCCTTCTGCACAGTTTGGGAGCCATCCTAATCCCCTGCGAGCCAGCTTCTCTGGGAGGTGCCGCCCTCGGGGAGTCAGGCAGCGGGGAAGTTCTACAAAACTTTCTCTGAGTTAGTCCTCTCATCTTGGAGGCTGAGCACGTCCTGTGGTGTGAGAGGGAGTCTTTTCTCCTGCCGCTCCCGTCTGTGTCCATCTCCTCACGCTCCAGCACCTGCGTCATTGCCTGCTGCCGCCCCCGCTCCTCCAGCGCACGGGAATCTGCATGCATCAGCCCCCTGCGTCAGCTCCCCTCTCACTCCACTCGCTGATGACACCAGGCTTGCTGTGGTCGGGATAACAGGCTCTGTTCAGCCACCTCATTGGCTCCTCGCTCCTATCTATCCAATCAGGGCCAGGGGCCCCTTCCTTCGAGGTTGCTGGGCAACCTTCAGAGGCCACAGAGGCAGGGAGAAAGGTAGAGCAGGAACATGCCCATGGGCATTTGGAGGCCATCTGAATTCAGGGAAGGCCTGTCCTCATCTCCCCCGCCCAGCCCTGCCAGGGACACTTCCTCAGATTGCCATCTCTCAGCCCACTTGGCCAGAGACAGGAAGAGGGAGAAAGAAGGGGATGAAGGGCGGGCCGGGGCATCTGCCTGGTGTCTGAGGTGGCCTGGCCTGTGCAAGAGGAGTTGGACTTGGCCCTGAACTGCCCTGGGACAGGCTGGTGTTGCCTGAGTACGGGGCTTTGCTCAGAGTCAGCACAGAGAGGGGTACTGTGGAGTGTGGCCACATCTTGTGGGGCTTCGGGGGTGCACCACGAGGGACAGTTCATGCAGAGGGTGTCAGAAAAGCCAACCATTCCTTTGGTGGCCCAGGCCAGGTCCTAAGCAGGATGATATGGAGATTTCCAAAAAACCAGAAGTCTTCTCCAAATCAAGGTAGAAATGAGGGCCATGGTACTGAAAAGGCCTAGAGTGGCTGTCCTGACCAGAAATGTGCCCACACAGGCCATCAAGACACCCGTGTCATGGCATGAGAGATCCAGAGAGGCACATGTTCTAGCTTGGTGTATCCTGTCAGGAAGAGACCCAGTGAGCAGGCCCACAGATGCCACCTTACAGATGAGGAGACCTAGACTCGGAGAGTGGGATGTCACAGCCATGTGAGGCCACTTAGGGAAGAGGAGCAGAGATGTAAGCACAGGCCACAGCCCATGGGGACAGTGTTTGCTTTTGGGTTGTGTGGCCTCTCTGGGTGTCAGGGCTAATGGACTTTGAAAGAAGCCTGAGTTCGCAGAGGAAGAGGAAGACTGGAAGACTTGGGCAGGTAGCAAGCCCCTGGCACCACTTTCAAAGGTGGCTAAGGAAGGAACATTTGCTCTCCATCTTCTTGGCAGGGTAAATGGGAAGGTGCAGGGAACCCCAGTTACAGCAGTTTCTTTTTCTTCAGGAACTTTTTCTGAGTCTTTCTCAGGCACAAGCCCAGAGGCATGAGAGAGCTTGACATACTGGACTCAGATGGAGAGTGAGAGTGTAGGGCTGCGGGAGTGGGTGGCCTGCTCCGTGGGGTCCTGGAGTCACATGTGGCAGGCCTCTGTGGCTGCATCAGGCCGAGCAGCACAGGCAGGCACGGTGCAGCTGGGTGAGTCTGAAGTGTCTCCTCCCTCCAGCGGGTGAGCATTGCTGCTGGGGCCCAGCGGTTTGGAGGAAGCCATAGAGGCGACTGGCAGTGGGTGTGCCCCAGGAGCACTCGAGGCCGTCGTGCATGGGCTTACCTGGGCCACTGCGTGGCTGGGACTCAGAGCCCTGGGAGTGTGGCCAGGGCCAGACACGGGCCCACTCCTGGCTGACTCTGCTGAAGGGGAAGCAGGAGCATTGGCACAGCTCTTGTGCGTGGGCTGCACACGGTACTGCTGGCCTTCTGAGACCTGATCCCAGGAGTGTGCATGCAGGGTGCCCGCCTGACACAGGGGTGGTGCTCCAGCAAGGGAAGCCAGTGTTGTTATTGCTTCCCAGAGGACGGCATGGTTCTCATCGCAGAGCGGAGCCCAGGCCACTGTCCCAGTGGTTGGGTCTTCTGGCCGCTTTGCTGGGACCTGGGTGCAGCCCTGGGGAGGGCTGGAGTCCTGCACACAGGCTCTGGAGGCTTCACTGGCTTCCCAAATGGGGTTCACATCCGCTAATGACTGCCCCGGAGAGCGGAGAGCTGAGGGTGGCCCTGGGGCAGCAGCCATGGTGGCCAGAGGGTTTATCTGCCAGGCCTCTGTGGTGGGTGCTCTCTCCCTGGGTAGACTGGGCCTTTCCCCCCACCCCCTGCTGCCACCCATATGAAAGCAGACATAGGCATCGCATGTCCACACCTGAGCCATAACCGGTCCCTGTACCAGGCTCTTCAGATATTCTGGACGTGAGCCTCGTGAGCAGGGAGTTGTCCTTGCCCCCTGGAGTACTTTGCTTTCTGTGGAGGTCCCTCTGGCTGACTTGCCATGGGCTGGGGAGCCAGGGCGGGATTGCGTGGGGTGGGAGAGGAGCCATCAGTGGGCCTCATGTGCCCTCCTGTCCCGTCATCTCTTCCCTGGGCCCCGTACATGTGTGAACGGAGAAGCCGGCCTCCTGCTTCCAGGGGTGCCACCGCCACTGCCACTGCCGCTGCAGCAACCTCTGTCTGGCATCCGGCCCGAAACACCCCTGCCTGCTCTCCGCTTCCTTCTCCACCCCAGCTTGTGGGAAAAGACGAAGGAGGCCCCGGGAAGAGGCCCAGGCTGCAGCACTGCGTGGCCCAAAGCAGTGCACAGCACAGCTGGGCCCCAGAGGCTGAGGGCCTGCCCTTGCTGCTGTGGGGATTTCCTCCTCGGAGTGAGCAAGCAAGAGAAGTCCCTGCATCTGTTCATTCTCCTCACCTCCCATCCTTCCTAGGCACTGCTTGCCTGGCATCAACTCTTTTTTTTTTTTTTTTTTTTTGAGATGGAGTCTCACTCTGCTGCCCAGGCTGGAGTGTAGTGATGCGATCTCAGCTCACTGCAACCTCCGCCTCCCAGGTTCAAGCAATTTTCCTACCTCAGCCTCCCAAGTAGCTGGTATTACAGGCACATGCCACCATGCCTGGTTAATTTTTGTATTTTTAGTAGAGATGGAGTTTCCCCATGTCGGCTAGGCTGGTCTTGAACTCCTGACCTCAGGTGATCCACCCACCTTGGCCTCCCACAATGCTGGGATTACAGGCATGAGCCACCACGTCCGGCCCTGGTATCAACTCTTGAGACTAATCCCTTGGCTGCTCAAGCATACTCCACTCGCACTTCATTTGGGTAAACCACCGTCGGGCTCATCTTTAGCACACAGAAGATACACGTTCATGACAGGAAAATTAGAAATACACAAAGGAGCAAAATATTTTGGTGTATATCTTTACAGATTTTTTCCCCTGTGCATTTTTATGTAAATATATTTTGACTTAGATGACACCATCATACACATCCTGCTTTACGGGCTGCTTTTCACTGAGTGATGTATAGAAACTGTACACAATACAGGTTTATAAAGCATGTTAAATACTACATGTCTCAGTATGATTTGTAATAGCTGCATAGTATTTGCTTGAATGGATAGATTACAATATGTTTAAATATGATTGATGGGCATGTAGATTATTGCCACATTTTCACCCCCATACTCAACACTGTGATGACACCTGTTTCATATACATCTTTGCTGTACTCGTGCAATTTCTTCCTCAGGCTACTTGGCTGCGAGGGGAATTACTGGACCAGCAGGCCTGCCCTTAAGCCTTTTGATACATACAGAAACTCATTCTGTCGAGATTCCTGGTTTCCCTTCCCACAAGAGCCACCAGGAAGCCACCTCTGGAGGGGTCCACATTCCATCCTTCAAGGCTGCTTACATCCGTAGCAAGGGTCTTCCTGGCTGTCACTGAGTGGAGGGCCACTCTGCCCTGCTCTCTGTGAAGGGCTGGACAAGGGGAGGGGACGGTGGATCTGGGAGGAGACCTGGGTCCGAGCAGGGGTAGGTGGCTTCAGGCAATCACTCCCTGGTGGGGTGTGCTGGGCTGTCACAGGGTGCCTGGGCTTGGTCCTTGCTGAGGTTGGGGGAGGAGCAGGGCTTGCCTGGGAAGACTTGGATCTGCAGGTCTGTGCCTGGCTGTGGGAGTTAGGGGAGGGGAGCACCCAGTAGGAGCAGGGCTGGCCTCGACGTGCCGGGCCCTGAGGGAGAAGCAGGGCTTAGCTCGGCGGAAGTTGGAAGGGCATTTCAGGTGGGCGGACCAGTATAAGCTAAGGCACAGGCATTCACTTGGCAGGGCTACCTTCCAGGGACTCCAAGGCACATGGTCTGCTTGGAGCACAGTGTCGGCATTGGGGGGAAAGAGGCTGGCTCAGGGGACTGGTGATTTTGCTCCCAGTCTTAGAAACAGTGTGGAACCATCAGGTGCTGACTGAGAATTGAAGGCTGATGTGGGCCAAGTGGGATTAGAGACCAATGAGTGTTGCCTGGAGGAGGTGCAGATAAAGGCAGCAGGCCAGGGACCAGGGAGGAGGTCTCAAGGGATCGTGGCCTAGACCAGGGCAAATTGGAGGGAGAAGTCAGCTCTGTAGATGGGATGTAGATTCCAACCTCATTTGCCCACCCCACCCACCCCACCCCGCCCCATCCCATCCCATCCCATCCCATCCCATCCCATCCCATCCCTCCCATCCCACCCCACTACATCTCATCCCATCCCATCCATCCCATCCCATCCCATCCCATCCCATCCCATCACATCCATCCCATCCCATCCCATCCCATCCATCTCATCCCATCCCATCCCATCCCATCCATCCCATCCCATTCCATCCATCCATCCCATCCCATCCATCCCATCCCATCCCATTCCATCCATCCATCCCATCCATCCCATCCCATCCCATTCATCCCATCCCATCCCATCCATCCCATCTGATCCGTCCATCCCATCCCATCCATCCCATCCCATCCATCCCATCTATCCCATCTGATCCGTCTATCCCATCCCATCCATCCCATCCATCCCACCCATCCCATCCCACCCCATCCCACTGCCTGACACTCATCACTTTAAAGGCTCCTTGTCCCAAAGAACTGCCTTACACTTCATCGTGTGGAAAGACTCTACTTTGGCAGAGATTTTTCTGACTCTTTCATATTTATTGTCTCATCAAAAAAGAAATTTCACTTGTGAGACTCAGCCAGGCGTGAGGGAAAGGAGCCCATGCAGAAGCACCAGCCCTGGTCTTTGTCTGGCAATAAACCCGGAGTCTTCTGACTGGAGTCTCAGCTATAAAGACGGGACTGAAGGCAGCATGGTGCCCTCTGCAGGGGACGGATGGTGTTCCCACCCAGCCCTGCCCTCCTTTGCCATGGGTCCCTCTGCCTCTGTCATTCTGCATGTGCAAAAGTGTCTGTCTTGACTTTGGAAGTGGCTTATTTGGTCCTGATTTGGCAGGAAACTTCTAGGCAATGTGGCCATCAGGTTTGACAAGGGGTAACTGATGAGTCCTTGTGCCTGGTACTGGGCCTGGGATGGAGTCCACCCCCGAAACTGTGGATGACCGTCACCTGCTTGCCACGCTCATATGTGGAAGCTGGTGGCTACAGTCCCTGAGGCCTTAGAAAGGAGTACGTCTTTGAGGTGCCCAGCGCAAAATAAGTCATACTAGCTAGTACAGCCTAGCAAGGTTAGAAGGAACCTAAAGACGAAAGACTAGGAGGTCCTCCTGCAGGTGAAAAGCTGAGGCCCAGATGAAGTGAGGAACTGTCCCAAGGTCTGTAGTCAGTCAGTGGCACCCAGAGACTCTGCACATGTGCCCTGCCCATGGGGCCACTCCACAGGTTGCTGGGATGGGGACAGTTAGGCCTGTATGGCCCTAGGAACACCTGTGGAGTGAGCGCCACTCAACAGAACTCTAACGTGGCAGCTTTGGTGCAGGGCTGGGCACGCGGGGCTCCCATTTGCAGTGATGAGGTGCCATTCCTGGCACACAGCAGGCTCGGGCTGTCTGGGCTGCTCGTTCAGTGCAGTTTATGGAAGAGCCAGCTCTTGCTGATGTGGCAAATTTGGTTTGCTCTCGTCCCCCTGCCCTGCCCATTTGAGTGTGCCCCTGACCTCCACAGAAACACATCCAGGCCCTGCCAGCTGGCAGCAGTGCTGAGCTGGTCAGACCCTAGCCCTGGAGGGGCCCAGGGGATGAAAGGCCCTGGAGAGAAAGGCTCTTCTGCTTTGTGACTATGCCAGCACAACCAGGGCCCTGCTTCCTGTCATGCCCACAAGCCTGAGCCCCCAGCCCCTATTTTGAGGCCCAAGGGTTCGGCTGTGGCCACTCAGGGCTCCCTGCAGCTCTGGGTCGCTCCCAGCCTGGAGAGCCAGCTTCATCACCCTGGGCCCTTCTCCGGAGCAAATGGCCCTCGAGACCACCACAGCTCACCCCTCATGGGCACGAGAGGGCAGCACTGGGCTCAAGGGCAGAGAGGCTGAAGGCAGTGTGGCACCGTCTGGGCAGCATGAGCAGCACCGGGCTCAGGGGTAGAGCAGGGCGAGAAGACACAGAGGAAGAGGAAGCAGAGCTCAAGGCAGCTGTGGGCCAGGGCGTAAGGAAGCCTAACTTACCACATTGCCACACTCGCCTGTTCCCTGAGGGCCACTAGGATTTGGCAGTGGGGCCCTGGGCTTTCCCCACTGAAGGTGGAGCCAACCCCCGAAGGAAACAGGGCTGCACACCCCAGACCATTCTTGGCGCTGTTTGAGGACCACCGCGCCTCTCCTAGCAGATGACTTGAGAGCTACTGCTGCTTGGCTCCTTTTCAGGTGGTGCCGGGTACTTATAGGAGCATCGGCGCATTCCATCCTCACAGCAGTCCTGAAAGGTAGAATTTTTTTTTTAACTATCATTTTACAAATGATGAAACTGAGGCAGCTCGGAGAGGTTAGCTGACCTGCCCAAGGTCTGTCAGAAAACTCCTAAGGGGTGAGAAGCAAGGTCCAACCCCAAAGCAGCTGGTCCCCCAGCCCGTCCCTCTCCACAGGCCATCTGCCTGCCCTGAAGCTGTTCGGCTTTGGATGCACTCTCTCCCACCCTCTGAGTCCACCAGTGCCAGCTGTCTTCCCCACACCCCCCAGCCTGAGCCAGGCTGTTAGCACTCTGTAGGAGGGCTCATGTTCTCCCGTTATCAGTGATCGCTTTGAACAGACAGTCCCTGGCAGCCCCTGAGCTCCACATTCTCTAGGTGAGCAGCCCTGGGCAGGCAGGTGGGTGTGCCGCTGGGCAGCAGCAGGTACAGTGAGTGCTGGCCCCCTGGCTTCTGCCCATACTTAGCACTCCACCAACGCTTGCCACCCCCGATGTGCAGAGGGCAGTCTGGATGATCTTGGTGTACCAGGACCCATATGGTCACCTGCAAGACACTACAAATGCATGAAGTGACAGCATTTGCTTACCTTTATCCCCAGAAGCCCTGCTGAATCAAGTGAGAGGAGAGCTGCGGAGCAATCACCATGAGTATCTCAGCTCTTGGAGGCCGCACCAAAGGTGAGGCCTGGGCTCCCTGGTTTCCCAGGCTCTGTTTGGGGCTGTTTGCTTCCAAGCCTGCCCCTACAGGCCACAAGCACTGTCCCAGCAGCAAAGGGAGAGCAGCATACTGGGAGAACTGGAAAGGAGGTCGAGGGTCCTGGGGCTGCATTCCTCTTCTGAGGCGGTTGGCTTTTCCCACCACAGGGAAGCCTCTGCCACCAGGCGAGGAGGAGCGCAATAACGTTCTCAAGCAGATGAAAGTGCGAACCACGCTGAAGGGGGACAAGAGCTGGATTACCAAGCAGGATGAATCGGAGGGTCGCACCATGTAAGGCAAGGAGGCGGGGAGGGACCGCAGCAACGTGGGGGCGCGCAATCCGTGGGGGACCGACCATACCTGGGGATGCGAAGGGGCTTCCACCATTCAGAGCTCCGCCAGGCCATGTGGAGGGCAGAGCGTGGGAAAGGCTATCCAGCAATGTCACAGGGTGGGAGAGCCCCTGGGTGCCTGGGAAGGAGAATGTGTGGCAGAAATGGCAGGACTTGCTGGGCAGCCTCTAGGATGGAGGCCACAGGATGGCAGGTGACAGGGAGTCTCGGAGCCAATCCTTCAGGATGCCTCTTTCCCCCAGAGAGCTGCCCTCAGGCCGGAGTCGCGCCACATCCTTTTCATCAGCTGGGGAGGTTCCGAAGCCTAGGTAAGAGGTGGTGCTCAGGTGGCTGGTGGGTCAGCCCCAGGGACTCTCCTGCAGCTTGGGGCCAGCCCTCAACAGGGAGGGGTGGGCAGTCCACAGGGGACAGGGATGCAGCCCCAGCCAAGGGTCTGCAATGAGTAATTTGAAATCTGCAGGAAGGAGGGGCTTCTCCACTGCACCTTCCTTTTGGGAAGGGGAGTGTAGGAGTCACTTGGTCCAGGCCCTTGGCCTGGCTGTGTGGCTGTGGGGCAGCTGACTTCCCTGCTGGGCCTCCGTGGCTCCAGCTGTTAACTGGGATTGAAATTGTCTTTAAGAAGAAGACGACCTCCCACCCATTCCCTGCAGGGAGTGATACTGCCTCTGAGATGCTTTGGGCAGCTTCCAGAGTCACAGTGACTCACTCCTGCAGGTCACCCTGACTGCTTGAGTGTACTTGGGACTCAGCATGCCTGTAGAGAGGCACGAGTTTGCTCTGACTGTCTCCCAAGTTTACCGTGACATATTTTGTCAGCTGACCAAGGAGAACTGGCTTCTCTCTCTTTTGGGGGCTTTTCCATAACAGTGTCTAGGGGGGCTCTGAAGCGTGGGCACACCCTGCTGGCCTCTGGAGGAACTGCTCCTGACAGAGAAAGGGAACTGAAATTCAGGCTCGCTCCTTGCTCCAAACAGCCGGCAGGCGGCTTCTCAGGGGGTGGTAGAGGCAGTGGCGGCCTCTGGAAGGGAGGGCCTCAAGTTTACAGCCAGCACACAGGGCTACCTTTAGTAACTACGGTCTCTCTGTCACCCCTCGATGACTCAGCGCCCACTACCTGCCAGGTCCCATGCTGGGCACAGAGGATGCAGGAGTGGTCAAGACAAAGGCCCTGTCTTTGGGCAACTGACGTCCCAGCAGGGGACTCAGGCAGGACCCTAGTAAACAGTTCAATACAAAAGCGAGAACCCCCAAGTGTGCCTGCAACATGGCCACCTCTGGGAGGCTGTCCCCTGTTAGAGATGGAGATTGTGGGGTTGGAGACTACCGGAGGCTCTGTGTTGCCCTTGACCCAAACCCCGATGCTCCAGCCCACATCCCCTCCACTGCAGGACAGAAGGGTCTACCCTGACCCCTTGACTCCTCCCCTAACTCTGAGGAGGACTCTTTGCAGGGGCCCCTAACTCCTGCCCGGAGGCCAGAACTTCCAGGCTGACCACCCCTGGCTGTCAGCTCCCTGCCCGCTCGTCTTGGCTGCCCCCTGAGTTATCTGAGCCCCCTCAGTTGCTGCCAAGCAGGAGGTCCCAAGCACCCAGAGCCTAATGTTTCCCAGCCGCTGAACAAGGCCTGGCCGCGCCCTCTCGTCTCAAACTTCCACCAAGACTTGGGGTGTGGGCATGCAAGGAGCTGGAGCAAAGAGGGCCCCGAGGGACAGGAAGGGGGACAGCTGGCTTCGGCTGGCTGCTGCCTGGGCTCTCCCCTTCAAGCCCTCATGCACCTTCCTGGTGGAGGCTGTTGAGGGAGATCAGGTCAGACCCCGGGCTGAGGGGAAGCCTCTGGCTCTGACTGGGGAGCCTCCAGCTTGCACTGGTTCAGCCCCAAGCACAGAGGATGGGAGGGCTGTCAGCTGAGAGCAGTGCTCCGTCGGCGCAGCACTGGGAACTGGCTGGCCAAGGAGAAGCTGGACTTTGGAGAGGCCATCAAGCTGCCTTCCTAGGCACCTGCCATGAGGAGTCACCTGGGGCACTTTTCCTGGGGGAGCATGAGGGAAATAGGCAGAGCATAGCGGGCACCTGATCAGGGGCACAGGGGGCTGGCACCCCTCGTTTCTGCTGTACTGGGACACCTGGAGCACTTGCCAGCCAATCTTATTTGCTATCGTTAAGGGCAGGATAAAGTAGGATGACCTCAGCCCTCCAGCAAGCCTCGCTTCACTCCACCCCTTCTTCTCTTCGGCAGGCCTCCGAGCACAAGGGCTCCCACTGGCTACATCATCCGGTAAGTGACCGCAGGACTCTGCCGGCCTTCCTGTGCCCACTCACGCCAAGCCCTGACTTCTTACCCCTCCAGTCCCTCCAGGGAGCTCACCGGCATCTCCTGGGCTCTCTTTCAGGGGAGTGTTCACCAAGCCCATAGACAGCTCTTCCCAGCCCCAGCAGCAGTTCCCCAAGGCCAACGGGACTCCAAAAAGGTATGTCCATGGGGTGTTGGCCAGTCGGCCAGTGGGGAGGTGTGAGGGCCTGGTCTGGGCTCCTGGCAGAGACAGTGCTCTGCCTATCAGGACTGTGGGGCCTTGGAGGTGCCAGCTTTCATCCTGGGTAGGGCAGGACCCTGGAGAGCAGGGTGGGGTGACCAGAGGAGATGGGCTGGGGTGGGACTGGCAGTCCCAAGTGGATGTGTGGGTCTCTGGGAGGTCCTGGGCCACTAACAGTGTCCTTGTCCTGGGGTCAGTCCTGACTAGGCCTGGCTAATGGGACAGAGAGGTGCAGGAGTTTGGGAGGGGCTGGGTGTAGAGTCCCCCTAGCCTGGCAGTGGGCACCCTTGACTTGACTTGCTGATGGCATTGAGAAGGCTGAAGTTGCATGCAATTCAAGCACCTTGGCATCAGGCATTGCCTGGGACTCCGTCAGACTGGAAAGGCCAAGGGGACCCGGAAACAGGAAGCAAAGACACAGGCAAGAGCCCGCTGGGCTGTTCCCTGAAGCTCGGTGGGGTTTGCCTACACAGCTGCTCTGAGTGGCGCAGTTCCGGGTGTCTGTCAGGGCCAAAAGCAAAGAGGAAAGGCTCCCAGGCAGCTCCTGGTCCACCTCTCATGTGTCCACTGGGCTGTGTGGCCAAATCTGGAGGCAGGAGGGAGCCTGCAGGTAGACACATGGAACCTTCTCCTCTCTAGTGCTGCCAGTCTGGTGAGAACAGCTAACGCTGGTCCTCCCCGCCCCTCCTCCTCTGGCTACAAGATGACCACTGAGGATTACAAGAAGCTGTGAGTATGCAACGCCAGGCTCAGCGTGGTTCCCTCCTCCAAGGAACAAGTCCAAACTCTGGGTCCACTGAAGGCAGCTGACTACTTGCCACCGAGCACAGCCCGGGAAGTCCCGCCTGCCTGACACTCCCTGCCAGTTGCAGCTGTGGCCTGGAGCCCACCAGAGGGTAACAAGCCCCAGAAAACTGGATGGCTGTGCACATTGCACGTCTGATCCGAGGCAGAGCGGAGACCGCAGGAAGCTTGTAGGAGGGGCCCCACGGATCTGGGGAAAGGGTCATGGGTCGTGAGGCTGCTGCTGGCTGGCTGTGCTTCCTGGGCTTGGCCCTGCACCCGGCCGAGCCTCAGGTGCTCTGCCTGGCTGCACTGGGCTGGGGGCCTGGGGATCCTCAGGGTGCTGCTGTCAGTCTGAGCATTGTGTGCCTAAATCTGAGCTGCTTCTTGGATAGAAACCTTCGGGTTTTCCCTTAGTGCTCCCCTTGGGGTCCCTTTCAAAGCCCCCCACCCCCCACTGCATGCTCAGGGAGGAGGGTTCTCTGGACAGAGGTGTGAATTGTGTCTCTAGTTCCCAGGGGACCACATCTTTCCGTTGTTTGTCCCTTGCCTCCATCATCCAGGGTTGGGGAGCTGCTGGGTAACCTTTCTGGGGAAGGGGAGAGGCTCGAACAGGGAGGGAGGGGAGAGCTGGTCTCAGGGAGGAACAAGTGGCATGACCTAAGGCCCAAAGGCAGAGATATTGACTTGCCTCGTCATTGTTGTTGAAAGCCAGGAAGCCAAGCTGCTGAGGGTGGCAGCCTATGACAGGAAAGCGCCTCTCCCCTCTCTTAGGGCACCCTACAATATCAGGCGCAGCTCTACATCAGGGGACACCGAGGAGGAGGAGGAGGAGGAGGTGGTGCCATTCTCCTCAGATGAACAGAAACGGAGGTAATGGAATGGTGCCTTTTGGGCATCCCGGGGGGCAGGGCAGGAGCCTGAGTCTTCGAAGACTGCTGGAATGAATTGTACTGGTTGGGGTGACAAAATGCACAACACGTAGGCCATCAGCGGTAGCCCACGGAGCATGAGAATAGGTGTCATTCTCTGAGTGCCAGAACCACCCACTCAGTGTTGGACCAGCTGAGGGGCCCTTGAGAACCTTCTGTGGGGTAGAACCTAGGTAATGTGGGTCCGGGGAAAAGCCTCCTCATGTGGAGGCTCTTCAGGGCTCTAAATCGGTTTGTTAGAAAGGGCCCTGAGACAGTTGAACAAAAATATTCAGGGAGAAGCCACCTGCACAGTGCCCTCTATCTGCATGATCTGCATGCCTTGGGGGTTCTGAATGCCCCGGACCCCAAACTGAGCTCCAGGCATGCACAGCAGTGGGAGTGTGCCCCATGCTGCTGAAATTCTACCCTAGTCTCTGCGCCAAGCTGCCCTCGTCCACACAGGCCAGCAAAGTTCCATGGACCCTTGCCCCTCCTCAGTCCTCTGTCCATGGGGACTGACCACATACCACCCAGTGCTGGTGAACTATGACAGGAAGGGTTTGTTAAGCACCTTTTGTATGCCTTTGGCTTGGGGCCTGTACAGCAGTTGGGCCCTGAGGAAATAAAGCCCTCCCCTCCCTGGGCTCAGCCAGCCACCAGGTCCATATCTGCTGACCCATCTGTGGCGCAGGAATCACAGCAAAGCCCCATTGCCAAAGGCCCTGGCAGATTGGCTATCCTCAGGGAACAGTTCACAGTGGCAGGGGCCCCCAGGCCTGGGTGGAGCAAGGAAAAGAGCCAGAAGCTAGGAGCTGCCTAGCATTGAATGCCAGCTCTGCCACCTGCTAGGTGAGTGCTCTTGGGCAAATAATGAAAGCTTCTTGGACTCAGTTTCCTCATCTGTAAATCACAGAGGATACTAGCGTCTACTTTCCTGGATTGAGAAGAGCAATAAGCCAATGCGAGGATGTTGGCATCTGGCGCAGAGCCGGGCACATGCCACATGCTCCATAAACATGGGCTGCCCTTCCTTCAGGTTCTACATTTCCTTTGAATAGTCCTTGGAGCAGGTGCAAATCTGGTTTCTCTCACCCCTTGCCTCCCTGGGGTGGCCCTAAGTCACCCCGAGTCCATCCCAGGCTAGGCTGGCAGAGCATGTCCAGCTTGGCACCCATCAGATGCTCCCCCATCCCGTGTCACCCCAGGTCAGAGGCTGCAAGCGGTGTTCTGAGGAGGACAGCTCCCCGGGAGCACTCCTACGTCCTGTCAGCGGCCAAGAAGAGCACTGGGTGAGTTGCCACCAACTGGCTCCAGGCTCTAGGACAGCTCTCCTCTCCTCAGAGCTCCAGCCTTCTCTGGCTGATGAAAGGGTGGGTGGAGAGATCACCCCCAAGGGCCTTCCTAGCTGAGCCTTCTCAGATTCTCAGATGTACTTTCTAGAAAATGGAGAGGTCTGGCGGCTACCACCAGGGACAGTGAAGTGCCGGGAATGGAGAGGGCCCAGGACCCTCTGAGGTAGAGCGGTCTTGATGTCACCTGCCCACGGGCTCTGCCCAAAGCATTGCCTTTCTGCTTCCTTTCCAGCAGTCCTACCCAGGAGACACAGGCACCGTTTATCGCGAAGAGGTAAGTGTCATCAAGGGACACCTTGGAGGCCTGTTACTGGCCACAGGAAGGCCTTCCGTCAGCAGGGGTGTAGTGTGGGAGCTGTGGAGAGGGGATGTGGATGTGGGGGACTACTGTCCCTGAGCAGGGGGAGTTGTGAGGGGCTGGGGGCTTCTGTCTGGAGGCCTGGCAAGCACCTGGGTGGCTGTGGTAGCATATGTGGTCAAGCTCTTCCATTTGCCAATGGCTAATGGGGCTGGGCCCCTGACCCAACGTGGAGCATTTCCAAGGCCCTCTGGGAGTTGTTCCCCTGCCCCTGTTGCTTGCCTGATGCCTTGCCTTCTGCTCTCATCCAGGATCAAAACCTGGGCCATCAGGAGAACTTCCCCTGGGAGGTGACTGTGACATTGGAGATGGGCCCTAAAGGGTGAACAGGGCTTAACAGGGAATGATCAGAACGTCGGGATACTCCAGCTGAATGAGGGAGGGGTGTCACCATTAGTTGAGACAGGGCACCTTCTGGAGGAGGAAAATATTCGGGGGAAAGCAAGAAAGAAACTTCTGGAAACTTGAATTTGAGGGACTTCCAGTTGAGTGGACAGGGAAGGCCTCTCTCTGTGCTGAGGTGGCTAGCTGGGGACTGCAAACCCAAGAGAAGACAGCATGCCAACTGCCCCAGGCAGAGGGCCCCAGTGCACAGGCCCGGGGTGGGACTAGCTTGCTGTGTTGGAAGACCAGGAAGTTGGCAGGAATACAGAGAGCAGGGATGGTGGCAGCACAAAGGAAGTGACAGAGAACGGGGGGCGGTGGGGGGGTCTTCCTGGCTGCATTTGGTTCCTGTGGTTTCTGTAACGCAGTACCAAAAACTGAGTGGCTTAAAACATCAGAAAGGGATTCTCTCCCGGTTCTGGAGACCAGAAGTCTAGATCAAGGTGTTAGCAGGGTGGGTTCCTTCTGGAGGCTTTGAGGGAGAAACCATCCCAGGCCACTCTCCTGGCTTCTGCTGGTGGTTGGTGATCCTTGGTGTTCCTCGGCTTGTACCTGCATCACTCCAGTCTGTGCGTCTGTCTTCACATGGCCTTCTCTTCTCTGTGTGTCTGTGTCCAGATTTCCCTCTTCTTACAAGGACAGCGGTCATTGGATTTAGGACCCATCCTACTCCAGTATGACCTCATCTTACCTGATTACATCTGCAAAGACCCTATTTCCAAATAAGGTTACAGTCACAGGTTCCAGGGGACATGAATTTTGGGGGGACACTATTCAACCCAGTATGCTGTCCTTATCCTGAGCTGGAGTCACTGAACCCCCAGCCTGGGCCACCTCTTGGCCGTGATCCTGAAGGGTTGGGTCAGTTAGACGCCACTGGAAGCATGTTCTTTGAGGCCTCCAAGCTCTAGGGCAGCCAAGAAGACCACGAGCGCTGTTTCTCTTCTTGCTCAAAGGGTGGAGGTGGTGGAAGAGGACGGGCCTTCTGAGAAGAGCCAGGACCCACCTGCTCTGGCAAGATCCACTCCTGGCTCAAACAGGTAATCCATTGCGCTCATCTCTGCCTGGGGCTGGTGGCTGCCATACCTGCCACTCAGTCACTGAGGAACCTCAGTCAGGGCACCTCCATGCTGGGCTTCGAGATCAGTGTCCCCATGTGCCCAGTGACAAGACGGGACAAAGAAATCAGTAAGAGCCCATCTGGCTGGATGTCCCAGGGCTGAAAGGAGCAAAACAGTCCAGCCCCCCGGGAGAGAGCACCTGGCTCTGGTCTGATGAGTACGTATCTGTGTCACCTTAACCCTTGCACCACTGAGCCTGGTGGCAACTTGAACACCCCAAGAAAAAGTACCATCCTTGGGGTTTGAGAGGGCCAGCCACCATGGCAGTAGCATGCCATTGTCAGACTTGCTCCTTGCACTCCAATAAGTTAGCCACATTCAGCATGCCCAGGGAGGAGGCTCTGACATCTCCAGAGCCTCTCACAGCCACCTTCTTTGCCAGTGCGGATGGAGGCAGGACCAAAGCGTCTCGGGCAATTTGGATCGAGTGCCTGCCAAGTATGCCTAGCCCCGCTGGGAGCCAGGAGCTCAGGTGGGTGCCGAGAGCTGACTCTGGCTTGTGAGTGGGTGTGATGGCTTCCCGCCAGCCTGGCTGGCTGGTTCTGCCAGCTGGGGAGGGTCTGGCAGTGGGGTGATGGGGCAAGGACAGGCTGAGCACTGGTGATCTCACTCCAGGAAGGGCCGTGATTTGTCTTGATTTCTGATCCCTGAGAATCTGGGCAGATAATGGTGCTCTCTTGTCTGTGGACAACTAATACCTTCTTGTACTTTGTGCAGAATGGTGCTAAGTCCTGCAGGGAGAGCCACCACCTGCTGTTGCTGCTGTTTAAAGTGCCTGCCTGGATTGAGACCTTTGCTCAAATCTAGGTCTCCTAAGAGCTGCATCTCTGTAGCACCCTTGGAAGACCCCTGCATCCAGAAGGGGAGAGGGCCTGTCCCTACCGGTCACTTCCCAGGCCCCCAAGGGCTGTTCAGGCTCTCCTAATACCATAGCAATCCCCCAATTTGAGCTCCACAGCCATTTATAGACAGGTGACCACTGTCCTCAGGGTTACTTCCTCAGTCTGGGAGGGAGACAGAAATGCTGGCAGAGGGAGCCAGGAGCATGAGGCCAGCTCCCTCCATGGCCCCAGGCAGCAGACTGCCAGGGTGCTTCTCCTTTTCACTCTCTCCCTCTCTTGATCTTCTCTGGTTGTCTGACTCTCCCCATAAGAACTTTGGTCCATAGAAGATGTGGAAAGGAAGATTTGAGAATTCTTTACAAGGCAATATCTAGGGCAGAGCTCCCCAGTCTTTTTGGCACCAGGGATTGGTTTCGTGAAAGACACTTTTTCCACGGGACGGAGCAGGGGATGGTTTCAGGATGAAACTGTTCCACCTTAGATCATCAAGCACCGGATTCTCATAAGGAGCGCACAATCTAGATCTCTCACATGTGCAGTTCACAATACGGTTCGCGCTCTCATGAGAATCTGCTGATCTGACAGGAGGCGGAGCTAAGGCAGTAATGATCTCTAGCTTACCTCCTACTGTGCAGCCTGATTCCCAGCAGACCACAGACTGGTACTGATCCTCAGGCTGGGGTTGGGGACCCCTGATCTAGGGGACTTGGCAATTGAGGGATATGGGGGCAAAGGCTGCCACAACAAAGTATTGTACCACACCCTGGGGCGCTTAAACCACAGAAACGTATCATCTCCCACTTCTGGAGGCTAGAAGTGTGAGATCAAGGTGACGGCAAGGTTGGTTCCTCTTGAGTCTCTCTCCTTGGCTGGTAGACTCCATCTTCTCCCTGGGCCCTTATATGCTCATCCCTGTCTGTGTGTGCCTGCGTCCTAATCACTTCTGTTTTTTTGAGACAGAGTCTCACTCCGTCGCCCAGGCTGGAGTGCAGTGGCACAGTCACCACTCACTGCAGCCTCGACCTTCCAGGCTCAAGAGAGCCTCCAGCCTTAGCCTCCTGAGTAGCTGGGGCTACAGTCACAGGCCACCATACCCAGCTAGTTTTTTTTTTTTAAATTTTTGTAGAGACAGGGTTTCACCATGTTGCCCAGGCTGGTCTGGAACTCTAGGACTCAAATGATCCTCCTGCCTTAGCCTCCCAAAGTGCTGGGATTGCAGGCATGAGCCACCGCGCCCAGACCCTAATCACTTCTTATAAGGACATTGGTCCAACTGGATTAGGGCCCACCCTAACAACTGTATTTTAACTTAGTCACTTCTTTAAAGGCCCCATCTCCAAATGCAGTAACATTCTGAGGTCATGGGGGAGTTAAGACCTCAACATATGAATTTTGGGTGGCACAAGTCAGCCCATAACAGTATACAGTTCTCATTTCTCCTTATTTCTCTTTTAAAGAAAGGCAATAAATGGTTTCAGGTGCCTTTCTGTTTGTTCGTTTGTTTGTTTTGTTTGTTTTTGAGATGGAGTCTCGCTCTGTCGCCCAGGCTCTGTCGAGTACAGTGGTGTGATCTCGGCTCACCGCAGCCTCCGCCTCCCGGGTTCAAGCGATTCTTCTGCCTCAGCCTCCCGAGTAGCTGGGATTACAGGTGCACGCGACCACGCCCGGCTAATTTTTGTATTTTTAGTAGAGACGGGTTTCACCATATTGGCCAGGCTGGTCTCAAACTGCTGACCTTGTGATCTGCCCACCTCAGGCTCCCAAAGTGCTGGGATTACAGGCGTGAGCCACCGCGCTTGGCCTCAGGTGCCTTTTAGAAGATAATATAGGAGGCTGGGCATGGTGGCTCATGCCCGTAATCCCAGCACTTTGGGAGGCCAAGGCAGGAGGATGGCTTGAAGCCAGGAGTTTGAGACCAACCTAGGTAACATAGCAAGACCCCATCTCTACAAAAAAATAAAAAATAAAAATTAAAAATTAGTTGGGAGCATTGATGTACACCTGTAGTCCCAGCTACTTGGGAGGCTGAGGTGGGAGGACTGCCTGAGCCCAGGAGTTTGAGGCTGCAATGAGCTGTGACCGCACCCTTACACTCTAGCCTGGGTGACAGAGCAAGACCCTGTCTCTAAAACAAGAAAAAAAAGAGAGAAAGAATGGAGGAGAATTAGATTGTGCTGTATTATAGATTTAAAAGGCACTTTGACATTTATTCCACAAAATTCCTTTCGATGTTTAATCCCCATCATATGGTTGTCATTGCAAGGTGGCTTTTTAAGTTTGCTCAGGTTGCCATAACAAATAAAGGCTAGAGATTCAGGGTCCGGGGCAAGCTCCCAACAGGAGGCTCAGCTTGATGCTTCTGATAGTTCTTTCCTCCAATTCTGGTCACTCAATATTTGGAGCTCACCCAGGCAGCTTCCAGGAAAGCTGCTGGCTGATCCTGACCCTGGAGGGCCGTCTTCTCTGACCCTACCACGTTAGGTGCTGCACTGGACCAAGCAGCCACCATCAGTACTCCCAGGCCCAGCTCCTATCTGCCTGGTGTCTGAGAAGCCCAGCCCGTGAGGAACAATGACTCAATCAAACTCAGGGTCCTGCAGCACTTCAGAAAAGGCTGGTTTGTGGCAGAGTGGAAGAGGAGAATGTCACAGCCTTGTCCCCAGGCACAGACCTATCGAGGCTACCCTCTCCCCACCCCCTGCCCTGCCCTGTTTCCCTTAGCTACAGTGCAAAGGTCAGCTCCTCATAACTCTTGCCCCCCTTGCAACCTGAACCCAGTTTAGGGACCCTCTCTTGGAGAAACTGGTTCTACACATGCACCCCTTCTCGGCCCCCAGGCCTGGCTGCTTTACCCGAAGCACTGGTCAAGCTTGCCTCACCTGACCAGGGCATGGCCTCCTGGGTCCCGGTCCTAGGCTCTGCCCAGCATGCTGCCTGGCAGAGCGTCTGGGGAGCAGGGAGTAGGAGCACAGCTTCTGGCACAGGACAAAACCCTGGCTTTGCATCAGACTGACTGTGTGACCTTGAGCAAGTCTCTTCATCTCTCCATGCATCAGTTTCCCCGTGGATAAAATAGGGAGAGCAGTAATAGCTACTTCCCAAGGCTGTCCCAAATGCTAAATGAGATCGTGCACCTGAAGTACTTACCACAGTGCCTGGGTGCTGGTATCCTCGGGGGCTCCCAGTCATAGGCGTGCTGAGCTGCAGGGCCCTTATTCAAATACAGGAAGAGATCAATATCTCCACCTGCTGGCATTTGAGGGAAATGTGGCCAAAGGCAGTGAAAAGGAGGTATCCCCTCGCCCCACATCCCCGCCTCCTCGCTCTTTGGCAGAATGAGTCACACACTGTTTGGCACAGGCCACAGTTGGTCGCATTCCCACAGGTGGCTGTGATCAGTTTTGGGCTTCAGGCTTCAGCAGATGCCTGCCTCTCTTCCTTGGGTGCCTTCCAAGGGTGTGCAGCCTTCCAGCGTGGTCCTGGACTTCAGCTTGGACTGGAGCTGTCTGTGGTTGAGAGTCTGGGGAGATGGTGGGGTAGCGGGTTGTGGGGGAGGAGAGACCCTTGTATTAGTTTACTGGAGCTGCTGTAACAAGGTACCAGAAACTGAGTGGCTTAAAACCACACGCATTTATCCTCTCACAATTCTGGAGGCTGGAAGTCTGAGATCAAGGTGTCGGAAGGGCCATGCTCCCTCCAAAGGCTCTGGGGGAAAATCTGTTCCATACCTTTCTCTTACCTTTTGTTGCCTGCAATCCTTGGTGTTTCCTGGCTTGCGCCCGCCTCACTCCCATCTCGGCCTCTGTCTTCGCGCAGCCGTCTTCCCTCTGTGTCTGCCCACATTGCCCTAGTCTGACATCAGTCACTGGAGCAGGCTGGGGTGACACTTTGTTCCCATTTCCTCTGTGACAGAGCCAGAAACGCCAGTGAGAAAATATGTTGTGCTTGCCTGTGACATCCCTGTTCCCTGGCACCACCTGATTTAAATGAGGCAGCCAGGGGTTTTATACTGTCATCATAAATGACATCATCCTCAACAACGATGTCATCGTCGTTATCACGAGAGGAGATGGGGAGAAGTCAGAGCTGTCTGTGTGTCTAGGGCCCCTCCTGGCTTTCATGATGGGAGAGGCCTTGTCCTTGGTAGCCCTTCCATTTCCCTCTGGTCACTTTGAGCACTCCAGGCCCTGGCCAGGGTGGAAGTGGAGGGACAGAGATGAGCAGCCCGCTGACCCAGCCCTCCATGGCTCATTCCTTGCTTTCACCTTGGCCACTCCATCCCCTACCCCTCCTGGGACCCCTGAGTGGCCTCTTTAAAGTGCCAGTCTGAACCTATAAACCCCCCACCTCCACTTCAAGCCCATCCTGCATCTTCCCTTTGCCATACCAGATCTAGTCTGTACATTCAGGACCCCTGCCAGCCTCTACCTCCTCCTCCTCCCCCGATCTCCCTTCAGCTGGCCTGGGTCGGGCTATGCCTCCATGAAGCTTGTCCACTGCTCCCATGGCTAAACCTGTTCTGGGCCCTGCAGCACAGCAAGGTCAGTTTCCATGCCTCTCTGCCCCTGCCTGACCCTGCTGGGCCCAGAGCTTCACCAGGGCAGGCCTGGGGCTCAGGCTTGTCTGCACTTCCAGGGCCCAGGGACAAAGGCAGGAGTGACTGCAATGTGGCTTGGAATTAGGCTTTGCTCCATGGACCTAAGGAGGTCTGGTTTGGGGTGAAGGGTCCACCCCCAGAAAGCCTGGGAGCTCTATATTCTCTCTGGCCCTGGCCACACCATGGCCAAGCCTGCTGGGCGTCATGCCTTGCAGTACGGCCAGAGAATGCATCAGACTTGGAGGGATGTGTGTCCGGGGTGGCCTGTGGTCATCTGGGGGAGGGCTCTGAGCGTGGCTGGCAAGAGGAAAGCTCAAAGGGGCCCTTTGTCCTCATCCCCGAGTCTGCGACATCCCCTCCCACTGGTTTTCATTCCATATTTGGTCTGTGGGTTTTCTCAGTCTCTCGTACCCCTCAGTCCCCACCAGTCCATGAATGCAGAACTACCCCTGGCCTCACAAATGGCCACTTTGGATACCCTGGTGGGGTCACAGGCTGCGGTTGCCCCTGCAAATGGTTGGTAGAAGCACGGGTTGGGAGGTTTCATTTCTACCCAGAAGGGCCCTTGCTGTGCCTGAGGGAGGGCTGGGCTCAGGTCAGGGGTGGGAGACCGGGGAAGGGGCCTACAGGTCAGTGGCCCGAGCTCAGCTGCAGCACCAACAAGGCTCAAGGCCAAGGAGGAGATGAGAGCACATCAAAAGGGGGCAGTGGGTCTGGGCGGCCCACCGCACTCACCAGCCCAAGAAGGGGGAGACTTTTCTCACCTGCAACCCACTGGGTCTCTCCTTTGGCCCGCAGCTCAAGAGGTGAGGAAATTGTCCGCCTGCAGATCCTGACACCCAGGGCAGGACTCCGCCTGGTGGCCCCAGACGTGGAAGGCATGAGGTATGGGGGTCCTGCTGCTGTCCTGGCTCCCTGGACACCATTCTAGAGATGGAAGCAGCAGCCTCAGGTGGCAAATGATGAGGCCTAGGGCCGGCTCTGCCACTGTAGGGCCAACAGGTTGATGGGAGGCATGGTCGACCTGGGTTTTCTGCCCCATCTCATTCTTTCACTCAGAAAACCATTATGGAGCAAGCGCTTAGTCTGTGTAAGGGCACAGGCCCGACCCTGGGACACAGTAGTGAACAGGACCCCCTGGCTGGAATTGCCATCTGCCTGGTGGGGGAGGCAGACGCCGACATGAGCATGAATGAGGTCAGCCAGAGATGCTGTGTGCCAGGAGCCCCTGGGAAGTGACAGCTCAACCCTGCCAATTGCTGAAGATGGGACCAGTCAGCCGTGCTGGGGATGTTGGTGGGGGTGGGAGGAGGATTGGGTCTAAGGAGCCCGTGAAGGCCACTGAGGCCATTGCCCTGCCTGTGTGAGAGGGCCACTGGGAATAGAGTGGGGTCACTGGGTCAGAGTCCACAGCTCTCCATGCCACTAGGCTCTGTGCTGGGGAGGGGTGGGTCAAGGAGGCCACAACCAGCAGGGAGCACGAGGGGCTCAGCCTCTGCCCTGGGGTGGGGGTCAGACAGCCAGGTGACATGCAGGCAGGATTCGGGGGCTGGGGTGGAGGCTAGGAGAGATCCGAGCAGGGAGACTGGGCCCCTACCTTGTGAAGGCCAGGGACTGGGGAGAGAAGCGGGAGTGTACACTGAAGGTCATCCCTTAATCCCTGGGGTGGCAGGAACTTCGAGCAGAGGCCTCTCAACAGTGTGGTGGGTGGGAGTGCTTGGGGAGGGCTTCCTGGAGGAATTGACATCCAAGATGAGTCCTGAGCGATCTCTAGGTCCCTTTACCCTCCTCCTTGGCTCCTCCCACTTTAATTCTGCCCCCAAGGCACCAAGTCCTGTCCACTTTATTTTAGAGATGTTTCCATCCCTATTGCTCTGCCCCTGGCCCAGGCCTCCACTGCTACTCACCCAGTTGTCTGCGACCGTTTCCTACTGTCCCATCCCTGGACTCCCTTCCACATCTACCTGGGTGATGTTTCCAAAGGGCAGAAGTAGTTATGCCAGCCCCCTGCAGAAAGCCCTGCAAAGCCCCTCCCACTATGCTCTGCAGCCTGAACTCAGTACCTGGCCCCACCTGCAGGCTCCTCCCTCCCTGGGCCTTTCTCTGTGCAGGCTGGAGGCTCTGCCTGAGATGCCCTTTCCCCTCTTCATCTTTCTGTTCCACCTCAAATGTCCTGTCTTCTGGGTCATGTCCTTCTCCTGAGTTTCTTCCCCAGGCAGCATCTGAGGGCTTGTCGATTCTGCATGGCAGCATCCATTCTGCATGGATGTAGATACAATCACTATGCCCATTTTACAGATTAAGAAACTGAGACCCTGAATGGTTAAGTAACTTGCTCAAGGTCACATGGTCCAGAGCAGGCAGATCCGCTCAGCCTGCCCTACTCCCACCTTCCACCTTCTGCACCATAGCTCATTGTACTAGTTGGGGCAGGGAGCAGGGGGACAGAGAGGGGTGATGGAAAGACTTGGCATTTGCTGAGTGAACTCATTTGACGAGTTTATTCGTAGGCATTGAAGTCAAAATTTCCAGGAGGGAGGTATTTTAAGGTTTGTGATTGAGGTTTGAGAGAGTGATTAGGGCTCAAGAGATTTCCACGTTATATGCAGACAGAATAGAGCTGAAATCATGAGCGTAAACTAGCTTTACATGGGGCTCATGGTGAGCCAATGGAAGCTGGGCACCGACCTCAGTATGCAGGTGGCAGCCACCTGGCCAGCCCTCCTGGGGACAGCTGGGCGAGGGCAGTCTCTTCTCGCCATGTTGAGAGTGGGCCTCCTGAGGGCCAGTTGGGAGTTAGTGGGTGTGCAGGCCAGTATAAAGGAGAGGCAGGAACAAGTGGAGATCCCTGCTTCAAGGGTGGCAGTTGACACCTTGGGAGGGGAGGAGACAGCCCAGCAAGTGGTGGAGCACGCCAAAGGGAGGAGAAAAAGGCGGAGACCAGGAAGGTGTGTGGCCAGGGAGGTAGGCAGGTGGTGTTGACAGGATCAAGGGAGGAGGGGTGGTGAGAAGGCTGGAGTGGCCCACTGGGTCAGCAGTACTGAATGGTGGTTTGAAATAATGATGGGACTGTCTCTCCTGGATTTGACAACATGGGGCTCCCTGAGGACCTGAAGGAGAACAGAAGGGGGCTTAAATTAGGAGATTAGGATCAGGGATATAGTCCAGAACTCAAATCCCAGCTACTCCTCTTATTACCTGTGAAATTTGGGGCAAATCACAGGGGCTTTGTGTGCCTCCGTTTGCTCATCTGAAAGATGGGCATGGGTGATAACAGTGCCCATATCCTGGGGTTGATTTGCAGAGTTAATGCATATAAAGTCACGAGAACAGGCTCAAATGCTCAATCAACAGTAGCTATTGCCAGGCACAGTGGCTCACACCTGTAATCCCAGCACAGTAGCTATAAAACAACAACAACAAAAAACAAAAAACAGTAGCTATTAGTAATGAAGTTTTGATAATTGGCCAATCTGTCAATCAGCAGGGTTTGTTTGTTTTTGGTTCTGTTTTTTAAGACAGCATCTTGCTGTGTGTGCCCAGGCTCAAGTGCAGTGGTGCCATCACAGCTCGCTGCAGCCTCAACCTTCCAGGTTCAACCTCCCAAGTAGCTGGGACCACAGGCACACACCACCACTCCTGACTAACTTTCAAAAATATTTTTGTGGAGATGGAGTCTAGCTGTGTTTCTCAGGCTGGTCTTGAACTCCTGGCTCAAGTGATCCTCTTGCCTCGGCCTCTCAAAATGCTGGGTTATAGGCGTGAGCCACTGCACCCGGCCCAGTAGCAGGTTTTAAGCTCCGTGGAGACAGCTGGCGTTTGAGGATGAGGTAACAGCCCACACCTGAGTGTGAATGGCTGCTGCATGGTTAACTTCCATTTCTTTCCTCCATAGGTCTTCCCCAGGCAACAAAGACAAGGAGGCCCCCTGCTCCAGAGAGCTCCAGAGGGACTTGGCTGGTGAGGAGGCTTTCAGGGCCCCCAACACAGATGCTGCAAGGTAACTCAGTGCAGGAAGCAGACACTTCATTCCCAGAACACGGAGCCCACATACACCCAGCTGAAGGACTTCCATGGCCTCCGGTGCAATGTCAATGGATGCAGCTGGGGCCAGGAAGGTCCTGTTCCCACTGTTCCCCCAGTACCTGGGGTACTGCAGGTCTTTAATGAACATCTGTTGAAAGAAAGAAAGAATGAATGAATGAGGCCTGGAGGGAGGTAGGCCCCTGCCATGATTCCTCAGGGAGCCAGTTAGAGAGCAGGACCAAACTCCAGGGCAGGCTATCCCCAGCTCCTGGCCTGTGCTGAGTTCCTTCCATTCCCCTGAAGCTTCCACACTCACTGTGCTTTTACTGCAGGACAAAGCAGCCCTGCCAATGGCCAGGGCAAAGCAAGGCCACCAAGCTGGCAGTCTGGGAGAGTCAGTGACCAAAGTATGTGGGCCCCCATAGAGCATGTAGCGGAGACTTTCAGGATGACCCGTGGACTAAGGGAGACATTGTGGCAAGGGGTGAGGGGTCCAGGACGGGAAGTTGGAGCCATAGCGGTGGATGATGAGTCCAGATGGGATGATTGTCCCCAGTCGCTGCACAGCCAGCCCACTGACCTGTCCTCCAAGCCAGACCAGTGCCAAATGTGTCTGGTGAGCAGTGGCTGCAGGCTGGGCATTTCTTCAGTGAGAACCTGGTAGCCAGTTACAGCTAAGAACCCACACACCCGTCTTCTCAGTGTGGATCCCTGGAGCCCCTAGCTGGAACCCTGAGCCCTGGAAATGAGGAAAGGAATCCCTCTATGGCTTATTACCAGACCCACATGTCTTGCCCCTTGCTCTGTTGGCAATCAGCTCCCCCCACCACCAACGAACTAACCTCCTCCTGACTTTCCACCTTGCTCCCAACCAACCCATCAGGTTTGGAAAAAATACAGAAATACTTCCTGTTAGAGTCAACTTGGGCTTGGCTCAGCTCTGGTCAGAGCAGCACAGAGTAGCAGCCAAAGGCCTGTGCTTCTGGTCTTGAGGCCCACTCTCATGGCATCTGGGTTAGATGAGATCAAAACGCAACTAGAGTCAGCAAATACTCCACTTCTCATAACAGGTCAAGTGCACAGTTGAGTGATGGCAATGTGGGATCCGGAGCCACGGGCTCCCGGCCTGAAGGCTTGGCTGCAGTAGACATCGGCTCCGAGAGAGGAAGGTGAGCTGCCCGGGGGAGGCAGGTTCTCTCATGCCCCTGGTGACAGACCAGGGTCAAGCTGCCAGGCTGCTTGGGCTGCTATGGGTGGGGCACTGGTCACTTCCTATGGCTCCTGTCTACTGCTTCTCCCACACTCCCACATTCCACCACATCCTGTGTCCTTGGGCTTTCCACTTTTTGGAATCTTGTTCATTTTTCTGATCCCTGCCACTGGCCCTCAAGCTCCTCCAGAGTAGGCACTAGGCCCACTCACAGCTGGAGGCCCAGCCCTCACATGGTGCTGGTCTTGGGCTGGTCAAATGAACGTGTAGGGAATACATGAAGGGACAAATTAATGAGTGAATGACTGAATGATGGAAGAGTCGGCACCTTCTTACTTCTTGGTTAAGCTCTGAGGACCAGCTAGGAGGCCCTTTGCTCCTGCTTTCTCCCTTCTCTCCTTTTCCTGCCCCATCCCTACCCCAGGCAGCTCTGCTCTGAGGTTCAGGGAGAGGAAAAGCGGTAGCCCTGGAGAGACCAGCGTGTCCAGCTGGGCTCTGGCTTCTTGGACCTGGAGGGAGTCAGGGGCCACTTTCTCAGGTGATTTGCAGAGTGGCAAGGTCCCTCTTGTCCCTAAGTGGTTCCAAACCAAGCCTGAATCATTCTTGGGGCAAAGGCTAGGTATGCAGATGTTGGCATAAATAGTTTAGCTCCAAACTATGCTAGAGTCCTTCTGGTTCAGAGCAGATGGCTAGGGAGGAGTGGCAAAGCCAGTGTCTGCAAAGAGCTACAACCGCAAGATATCATCTGCCTCCTGCATCCTACTGCAGTCTGGCCAAGGAGGGAATCCTGTGGGGAAGGCCCTGCTGAT
Source organism: Homo sapiens (assembly GCF_000001405.40). Classification (NCBI taxonomy): domain Eukaryota; kingdom Metazoa; phylum Chordata; class Mammalia; order Primates; family Hominidae; genus Homo; species Homo sapiens. Next base: position 549,012 of record NW_025791818.1, read on the forward strand.
GCTTTCCTACTTCCCTCAGCACACCCAGGGCCCCTTTCCCTCACTAACTTCAATAGTTTGCAATTCATGCCATGGAACCAGAGCCCGAATTCTAAATCCAGGCCCACAAGTCAACACAGGAAGGGGACAGCAGGTCCTGGCCTCTGAAACCACTGTCTCCGAGCAGGTCCAAGGAGAGGCCACCAGAGACTCTGTTCTTTAAGCTGCCACTAATGGGGAGGACTCCGCTAGAGCCCTGTCCATGCAGCCTGCATCTTTTTGCCATCTGCAGAGGCATTGGAGGGATCTTTTTAAAAATAAGCTAGATCACATTTCTCCCCTGCTAAAACCTTCTAGTGGCTCTCCATTTTCCTTAGAATGAAGTCCAAACCCTTTCCCATGGCCCACTGGGTCCTGCATGGCAGAATCTTTGGCCTTCTATCCAGTCGGGGCTCCTGCTACTCTCCCCACAGTGGTGCAGCTTGACTGGCTCTGCTGATGGCTGTCGCGGAAGAGACTTCTGGTCTACTGTGATTGGGTGGCTCTGGTCTCCTCCATGTCACCCCGCCTGCTTATACACCCTCATAACATGAAGCCTGTGCTGTCCACTGTTTCCTTAAAATGAAACCAAGCCTCAAAGTTACTTGTAAAGTCATCTGAAGAATCTTCTAGATTTTCATGAATTTTAACCCAGTCTTTTACAGTTGTCTTACCTATATAGTAGTCCCTAGGTATCTGTGGGGGATTGGTTCCAGAACCTCACTCATATACCAAAATCCATGCATGTTGAAGTCCCTGATATAAAATGGTGTAGCATTTGCATGTAACCTATGCACATCCTCCTGTACCCTTTAAAGCATCTCTAGATTATTATAATACCTCATACAATGTAAGTGGTATGTAAATAGTTGTTATACTGTATTGTTTAGGGAATGATGACAGAAAAAAGCCTGTACATGGTCAGTACAGATGCAGCCATCCTATTTTAATTATTTTTCCCACATCTCATCTCATCCTCTCCTCTCCTCTCCTCTCCTTTTTCAGACAGGACCTTGCTCTGTCACCAGGGCTGGAGTGCAGTGCTGTGATCACAGCTCACAGCAGCCTCAACCTCTGGGGCTCAAGGGATCCTCCCACATCAGCCTCCCAAGTAGCTGGGACTACAGGCGTGGACCACCACGCCTGGCTAACTTTTGTATTTTTGGTAGAGACGAGGTTTTACCAGGTTGCCCAGGCTGGTTTGGAACTCCTGGGCTCAAGCAGTCCACCGACCTCAGCCTCCCAAAGTGCTGGGATTACAGGCATGAGCCACTGTACCTGGTCCCAAATATTTTCAATCTGAAGTTGGTTGAATCCACAGATGTGGAACCCACAACATAGAGGGCTGACCACACTTAGTTTGACTATAATTTTCAACAAACTCCTTTATTGTTTTTCCTTTTTTTTTTTTTTTGAGACGGACTCTTGCTCTGTCCCCCAGGCTGGAGTGCACTGGTGCGATCTCGGCTCACTGCAAGCTCCGCCTCCTGAGTTCATGCCATTGTCCTGCCTCAGCCTCCCAAGTAGCTGGGACTACAGGCGCCCGCCACCACGCCCGGCTAATTTTTTGTATTTTTTAGTAGAGACGGGGTTTCACCGTGTTAGCCAGGATGGTCTCGATCTCCTGAACTCGTGATCCACCCGCCTCAGCCTCCCAAAGTGCTGGGATTACAGGCGTGAGCCATCGCGTCCTGCCTTGTTTTTCCAAAGGAAAGGTTGTTTCTCATGGCAACAACCACTCTCCTTTTCCATTCATTTTCATGGATTTACTTAATCATCGAACTTAGTGATTCTTCTCCATTAGTGGCAGCTCAAAGAACTGAGTTGCTGCCCCAGGGGCCTTTCCTTGGATCTGCTCAGAGACATTGGTTTCAGAGGCCAGGGTCTGCTGTCCCCTTCTTGTGCAAATACAACTGGCATAAAGAGGTCTGGGACCAAACAAGAGCACCTCTTAGTGAGTGTGCTGGTTAGTGGAGGGCACAGGCTTGTATAGGCAGTGATTGTTCAGCATGCCGTGAGCATCAGTCTGCCTGGTTTACAGAGACACAGAGAATGTGACTCCACCCTGAGAAGGTTGGGTAAGACATTCCCCACTAAATCCATATTGAGTGGGTGAATACAGGTGGACTGGGAAGGTGCACTGCTTCTATAAACAGCCACTGGGCCCTGTGGTAACAGGAACACATTAGCACATGTTATGGCCCAGGCATTATTCAAAGTACTTGGCATCTATGAACTCATTTACTTTTCTCAGAATACTTACGAGACAGACATGATTAGCATCCCTATTTCATTGATGGTAAAACTGAGGCCCAGAAAAAAAGGTCAGGTAACATGCCCAATGTCACACAGCTGGGAGATAGCAAAGCCATGATTTGCAACGCCAGAGGGCAACCACTATGCCACAGAGCCCCAGGTGTCAGGCTGCCTTGAGATATAAATATTGTTCCTCAAGCATCCATTTGAGCAGCTTCTTGGTCCTCATCATCTGTGGGGGGCAGGATCCACTTTCTCGGGAGAGGGTAGACATACAGACACAAAGTCCTGAACCTGGACCAGGTCTGGCCTTCTTTCACAGGCTGTGTGCAGCTGCTAGCTTTGCCTCTTTCCTGGAAGACCAGGATGGGCACAGTGCCAACTCTCAGTCCTGCAAGCCTAGACCAGCAGCCATCAGGTAAGGTTAGGGCCACTGCCCTAGTGCCCTATCCCATTGCCAGACACAGCCTTTGGGGCCCAGCCTCAGCTGCAGCACCCCAGGATCCCCCTCGAACTTCTCAGCTCCATGCCACTTTCACATCAGGTGATCACAGCAAGACAGGGAACTCCAGGGGGAGCTCTGACCAGGGGCAGTGGAAGAAGAGGGATGGGTGATATGTCTGCTCACCCAGAGAGCCCAGCACCAACCTACATGGACCCAAGCTGAGGTGGCAGAGAGGAGGGCATCTGAAGGCAGAGCCTGGGAAGAGATCCTGCTAGGAGGTCTCAGAGAACCTCTGCTGTAGGGACTACAGCCAGGTTTAGCAAGCAGGAGTCAGGGAGAAGATTCCCAGGGGCAGCCAGCATTAGAGGGCTCAGTTCCCAGGAGCACAGGACCGGTGGCTGGGATGGGCAAAAATGGCTCCTGGGGCACAAAGGTACAATGGGAAGAAGCTGTGCATTCCCATGCTGTAAGCGTCTGCCCTGTTTCACCCACCAATCCACCAGTGGGCATGGCCACTTTGCTGTGGGTGTGTGGAGCATTTGGCAAGTCCTAGTAAGGAACGATCTTTCTTAACTCCCATAAACCCTACAGAGGTGTAGGTCAGGTAAGGATACGTCATGCTCAGGGTCAGGTTCCAGCCGCAGCTGAGGGCTAAGGGGAATGGGTGGACGTGGGGCAGGGAGCTGGAAGAACACTCGAGAGATAGCAGGTAAATGAGACATGGCTTTACTCAGCAGCAGCTCTCTTACACAGCTTTCTCAAACTAGCTTTCTCATTAGCAGCTTACTCTCACACCGTCTGCCCTGTCTTGGCTGCTTAGTCCGGTGGCCCCTACGCACAGCTGCGTGGCCAGCTCTCCCTTGCCTTCAGGGTCAGCAGCTTAATTCTTTCTCTCCCTGGGCACGGGCAAGCCAAGCTGTGTCCTGGCTCCCCTCTGTCCTGGCTCCCCTCTGTCCACCTGCAAAGACAGACAGCTCTTGCTCTCTCTCTTTCTCTAGGTTCCCGTGCACCCGCCATGTCAAGCTATGTTGAGCTGAGCCAAGCCCCAAGAGACATGTCCCCCATACACAGCGTCAACAGGGCAGTTATACCTTTTACAGACAATAGTGGTTTAGAGCCAAGTATGAACTTACATAAACAGGTTATATAAGAAGTGGAGGTGTGCACCTGTGCACCAGACTCATTGAGTCATGCAGGCCTGGATATCCCCCTCTGCCTATTCCTTGAACAAAGCACATCCAGGTACCTTACAGGATACTAGAACCCAAAACCAGGAGACTTCCCCAGGGAACCCAAGTTGGTCAGGGGCAGTGTTTGCTCTTGAACTCAGGTGCTAAGGCCATGTCCAAAGCTGACATGAGGTTGTCACACACAGTGGCATCGGTGCCACACTAATGCCAGGACTGAGACACCAGCCTTTACTGGAAGACACAGTTCCTCCCTTTCTGGTGAGAAGGCAGCCTGGAGGGGGAAGACCTGGGCCCCAGCCTTCTTTGGTCTGAGATCTCAGCAGGCCTGTGTTTCCTTCCTCAGCTCCAGTGCCACTTCAGTCTCTGCTGTCCCTGCTGATAGGAAGAGCAACAGCACAGCAGCCCAGGAGGATGCAAAGGCAGACCCAAAGGGGTAAGGCATGAGCAGACAGTGCTGAACTTCTGGGGTGGAGAGAGGCAGCTTGGGCTGTGTGTCCATTGGCCTTTGGCTGGGAAGGTGAGGCCAGCAAGGTTTGTGAGCTGGCCTGAGGCACATAGCAAGGGCAGAAGCCCCAACCAGAACCCTCTGGCTTCTGGGGCCAGGGAGCTTTCCACTAAACTGTTGCCTTGGCCAGGAAATACATCATAGTCAGAAAGGGTCTTTCAGTCAGCAACCACTCTGACAGCAACTGCCTTTTGCTGGAGGCTGGAGCATGCAGACAAATCAGAAACACCTCTGCCCTCCAGGAACTCTCAGGCAGGGGGTGGGCAAAGGCTGGTCCAGATTAGAGCAATACATGAGCGCTAGAGCAGGGGAAGGGGGCTTCATGGGGACTGTATGTAGCTGGATGTGGTCAGCGATGAGTGTCCTTGTTGGGGAGTGCTGGAAGAGGAGGCTCAGTGAACTAGGTAGGGCTTGATTGGCCTCTTGTACTGTGATATTGGAGTCCACTGTGTGCACAGCCCTCTACTCACAGTGTCTCATACGGTTCTCCTCACAGTCTCTCAAAGGTTTATGCCTAATTACAACAAAACCCAAAAGCCTGGAGCCTAGGTCTCTGTGCCTCCTGGGAAGGATAGTGCTCCGAAGAAAACAGCCGCAGCTGAGATAGAGTGATGGCAGTGAGGAGGGTACTACTTAGGTGGGTGGAAAAGGCAACTCAGGCGATCTCCTCTAAAGAGGAGAAGGAGCCAACTCTAGAAAGAACACGGTGGAGAGAGCTATAGATAAGGAACCACAAACCAACTAACCCTGAGGTGGGAACATGCTTAGCATGTTCCAAAGGACAGAGTGGCTGGAGCTTGGCCAGTGAGGAGGGCCACAGATGGAGCAGGGCCTTGGTAAGCCATGGTTAAGAGATTGGATCTTATTTCAAGTTTTAAGCCAAAGGGGAGTCTCATGTGATTTAGGTGTTTAAAAGGTGAATGCATGTTTGCATTTTCATACCACATTGCTGTTGCTTTTTTACTTAAACCAAGATGCTGGGGGCTGGGGTGGGCAATGGATATCTAAGGTATGAGGCCTTATTGTGTTTCTTTTCTCATTCGAATTGCACTGACAATTAACAATCAGAGTGAAAACAACAGCTGACACCAATACTGTGCTGTGCTAGGTGCCTTACAGCCTTCCCAGCAACTTGTGAGATGGGTAAGGTGGGAAACTGAAGCATAGAAAGATTAAGTGACTTAGCCAAGGCCTTACAAGTGGCAGAACTGAGTTCCAAGGGAAGAGGCTCTAAGAAAATCCTCAGGAGAAACTACGAAAAACTAGTTTATGAAATCTTGTCTTTGGAGCCTAGTCTCAAGACCCAGAATCAGTAACTTACAGCTGGTTAACATGGTTAACATGCTGTGTGATCTCACCTTAATTTTCCCCAAACGTGGAAAAGGATAAGGCTTCTTATTATGCAACTTGACAGAGGAGAAAATTGAGGGACTCACTCCTGTAATGAACACACTTAGGAACAGAGCCCAGATCCAGCCAACTCTAGAGCCAGGCTCACGCTACTTTCCTCTGATGTTTAAACGTCTGCAAAATCAGAGGTGTTTTTTTTTTTTTTTTTTTTTTTTGAGACAGAGTTTTGCTTTGTCGCCCCAGCTGGGGTGCAGTGGCGCAATCTCGACTCACTGCAACCTCTGCCTCCTGGGTTCAAACGATTCTCCTGCCTCAGCCTCCTAAGTAGCTGGGATTACAGGCACATGCCACCACGCCCAGCTAATTTTTATATTTTTACTAGGGATAGGGTTTCACTGTGTTGGCCAGGCTGGTCTCAAACTCCTGACATCAAGCCATCCACCCATCTTGGCCTCCCAAATTGCTGGGATTACAGGCGTGAGCCACTGTGCCTGGCCAATACAAACTTTCTTGATTACAGTGTTTCACAACTCTGGCTGTACTTGAGAATCACCTAGGAAGTACTGAAATACACTGTTGATGAAAAAGGCCATACTCTGTAAAATATTTGAAGAAATTCTGAGCCAAATGTTAGGACTATGACCCGTGACACAGCCTCAGGAGGTCCTGAGAGCATGTGCCCAGGGTGGTTCACTTACAGCTTGGTTTTTTATGTTCTAGGGAGACATAAGACATCAATCAATACATGTGAGGTATACATTAGTTAGGTCCAGAAAGGCCTAGGTATACATTAGTTAGGTCCAGAAAGGCCGGACACCTCAAAGCTGGGAGTGTGGTGGGGGTGGGGGTGGGGGTGGGGTTCCAGGTCATAGGTGGATTCAGAGATTTTCTGATTGGCAATTGGTTGAAAGAGTTGTTATTCTCTAAAGACCTGGAATCAATAGAAAGGAGTGCCTGGGTTAAGATAAGGGGTTGTGGAGACCAGAGTTCTTATATAGGTGAAGTCTCATAAGTGGCCGCCCTTAGAAGCAATAGATGGCCAATGTTTCTTATTCAGACCTTTAAAAGGTGCTAGACTCTCAGATCAGAAAAAGTCCTGGAAAGGGAAGGAGATTCTCTACAGAATGTAAATTTCCCCCAGGAGAGACAGCTTTGCCAGGTCATTTCAAAATATGTCAAAAAATATATTTTGGTGTAAAATACTTCAATTTCTTTCATTACCTGCTGTCTGTCATGTGATGCTATACTAGAGTCAGGTTGGAATTTGGCATATTATTGCTTCAAGGAGTCTGTTTTGTCAGTCTGAATATCTCTCTCAATGTTAATACTGGTCAGTTGGGCATGAATTCCAAAGGGAGGAGAATATATTGAGGCATGTCTGACCTTCCCCTTTCTCATCATGACCTGAACTAGTTTTTCACGTTGTGTCCCCTTGGCTGAGAGAAGTGTCCATTCATTCAGCTGGGGAGCTTAGAATTTTATTTTTGGTTTACAACACAACAAAAACTTCCCGAAGTCCCAGGTAGAGATTTGGATTTTATTTTTCTGGGGTGGGTCTCCATCATGTGTCTTTTTCAAAGCTCCCCAGTTTGTTCTCCTTCCAGGCTAGGTCGAGAACCATCGTTCTCAGGTAGTGGTTCTGACCCAGGGGCATCTCCCAAAGCTTCCAGCCTGCTACGATACAATGTCTGGAGCCATTTTTGGTTGTCAAAACTGGGAGTGGGAGACACTACTGGCTTCTTATATGCAGAGATCTGGGATGCTGCCCCACATCCCCCAACACACACCATAGAATTATGGGGTTCAAAATGGTAATAGTGCTAAGGTTGACAAACCTTGCTGTAGAGCCTTGACGATCTATTTGGGAAGACAGCAGGGACGGAAAAGAAAAAGGGATGGCACAGAACCACACCCCTCACCTTCCCCGAAATCTGGGTAGCGGGCACAGGACGTGTGCGCCTGCGCGAATGCGCGCTCGCCACCAGCGTACGCGACGCGTGCGCGCCTGTGCACCTCGGCGAGCACGCGCCCGTAGTGAGTACGCCTGCGTAGGCCGCCATTTCTTGAAGCCCCGAACTCGGTCGCAGTGCCCGCCGGGAAAATGCGACCGTCCACAAAGTGAAATGGCCGCCCGGGACGAGCTCGGCCTCGGCGGGGATTCTCTTGAGGCCATGCCCGTGCCGGCCGCCAGAGGTCGCCCGAGGATCACGAATGGGCCCGAGGAGCTGGCTGCCCCTTCCCCCGCGTAAGGTCTGAAGCCGCGGCCAGAGTGGCTTTGGGGTGACCGCGCGTGGACCGTCGCCGGCGGGAGGAAGCGCGGTCCCGCGAGGGGCCGAACGGGGCCCCTGCGGCTTGAGCTTGTTTCGCAGGGAGCCCTGGGGCCATGGCCTCTGGGACACTGGACACGGGTCGTCAGGGCTGCCCAGGGGGAGGGGGTGTGGACGTGCAGACAGGGAAGGCAGCTGGACCCTCCAACCACGCTGGGCCCTCGGGCTGACCGGGGCTGGTCTGTGGGGCAGTGAGGAGGGGCTTCGTTCCCTAGGAGTTTGATGAGGGAGCGCCATGGGGGTGGCGTCATCCTGACATCCCGCAGGGCAGTGGAGCCTTACTTTCCCTAGGTTACAACACAGTTTTAACTGTCCCAAACTGTGGGGACTCCGCCCTATTCCATCTTGGGCCGCTCCATCACACTACAGGGAGAGGCGGTATAGTATAGTGGTTGAGAGCCTGGACTCTGGTGCTTTGGGTTCCAGTCCAAGCTCTGTCACTTACAAGCACCGTGACCTTGGGCATGTTACTCATCTTCTCTGTGCCTCAGGTTCCTCACGTGCGGAATAGTGGTAATCATACCTCCTACCATATAGGGTTGTTGAAATGGCCAAATCGGTTTGTATATGTAAAGCCTGTAGGACATTTAAACCTGCGAGCTAAGTGAAGCAGCACCAGAGGAATATCTCCTCCTCTCAGAGGTGTTCAGGGACACCTGGAAAGCTAACTTAACCAGCTTTATTGGTTTGATTTCATTTGACATGACACGATATCTCATCTTCTTCCTACTAAACTTTTGTCATCAAATTTTCCATCTAGAACATGCTGTTTTCCTCATTATGTTGCAAGCATGGGCTTCTCGTTTATATTTTTTCTGCATGAGGATCAGGTGAAGTTTAGGCACCACATTTCCTCACCACTGGCAACCGTTGTTGGCCAGTGGAGGCAGTACAAGGGTGGAAGTGTCAGCTGGGTGCAGTGGCTCATACCCACCTGTAATCCTATACTTTGAGAGGCCGAGGCGGGAAGACCACTTGAGTTCCGGGGATTGAGATCAGCGTGGGCAACGTAGTGAGACCTCATCTCTACAAATATTATCTATATCTATATATGTATATGTATATGTATATCATATATATGATGTATATCTCATATATATATGTTTTTGAAACAATGTTTCACTTCTGTCGCCCCAGACTGGAGTGCAATGGGGTGATCTCGGCTTACTGCAACCTCTACCTCCTGGGCTCAAGTGATTCTCCTGCCTTAACCTCCCAAGTAGCTGGGACTACAGGCACACACCACTGCACCTGGCTTATTTTTGTAGAGAGGAGTTTTTGCCATGTTGCGCAGGCTGGTCTCAAACTCCTGACCTCAACTGATCCACCCACTTCTGCCTGCCAAAGTACTGAAATTACAGGCGTGAACCACTACGCCGGGACTACAATTTCCGTTTTTTAAAAGAATGGAAGTGTGTAGATTATGGTTGTGTTAGGAGTTGACAGTGGCTGTATTAGGCTACTGGATCTTTGGTCCAATTACACTCAGAAGGAAAGGCTTCAGAGAAATTAATCCAAAATCCAAAATCCCGTTGGTCACCATCCCCTATGTTACCTTGCCTATCTCTAACCACTTGACTTCCAGGAAGTTCATGAGGAGCTCGGACAGGATAGCTGGGAAGTAATTCCCCTGGATGTTACATTGTCCAGCAGAGCTTCCTGTGAGTGTTTGCCTAAGATTTCCTTTTTATGACCCACATAGGTCATATGTCCTAAAATCACAGTGGCCCTGCCACAGGCCTAGGAAAGAAGAAGCCTTGTTCATCCATTTGTCCCTGTGTCACAATAGAGCCCAAATTTCTCTTTGTGGATAATCCTGGCTCTATCCACAGACTTGGTGAGGGCAACCTCTACTAGTGTATTTCTACAGAGGACGTGGGACAGGACGGGACTCTGATTAAATCCATAGTAAAGCTAACTCAGGGCTACCACAGTAGGGAGACAAGCTCTTCAGGCCTTGTATGTTTGTCTTTGGCTCAAGCAAGCATGTCACTGACAGAGATTGAATGGGTGTGTCAGGGCACCCTGCTGGCAACCCTGGGACTGGTGTTACCTGTGCAGACCACTTTTGGATCTGCATGGGCTGCAGCAGACCCTAAGGGTGGAAGCAGCACAGAGAAGCACAGGCCCAGTGGGATGGTTCCCCACAGTTACTGTGTGGCGTCACACTCACTTGCCTGCAGTTCTGCCTGGTGCAGCTGGAGGTGGCAATTAGCTTGTTGTGCCTGCTGGAGAATTTTAGTTCCCTTGACCTCCACCTGAGGCTGAAGAATCATGTTGCTTTCAGGGCATACTTTCCAAAAAGTGTGGCCTCTGTTGGCCTTGTTATTCCAGCTTGAAGGCAGGAAGCCTGCCTAGACAAAGTTAACTCCTATATACAAAGAGTCCCAGGGTAGTTTGTAGCGTGTTCTTGTCTCGGGGTAGCCCCCACCAGCTATTGAAGGTAGGCTGGTGATGTTGGGAAGGTTATATTCAGAGTGAGCTAGGATCGAGGTGATGGCGAAGTAGATTTTCATTCTGAAATGCTGGGCTCACTCTCTTAGTAGCCCAACTTGGTGTTTGCCCCTGGCCTAGTAGACTCTGGAAGCAGTACCTTGCACCTCGGTGTGGGGCTGGTGATGGGAGGGGTGTGGAAGTGGAGGATCAGCTAGCAGCCTCTTTCCCACGGTACCCAGATTGGAGGGTGCAGTGCAATCATGGGGTGAGGCCAGGGAGGACCCCTGAAGAGCTCGATGCCTGAGACATCTGGGGGAAGCCCTGTCCTTCTTGCTGGATTCAGGGGTGGCAAAAGCCAAAAATTGGAGGGCCAGGTGCAATGGCACATGCCTGTAATCCCTGCACTTTGGGAGGCCAAGGCAGGAGGATCGCTTGAGACCAGCCTGGGCAACATGGTGAAACCTTGTCTCTACAGAAAAAAAAAAAAATACAAAAATTAGCTGGGCGTGGTAGTGTAGACCTGTAGTCTCTGCTACTCAGAAGGCTGAGACAGGAGGATGGCTTGAGCCCAGGAGGCAGAGGTTGCAGTGAGCCGAGATGATGCCACTGCACTCCAGCCTGGGCGACAGAGTGAGACCCTGCCTCCAAACAACAACAATAAAAACATCGGAGGCTTCGGCTTCATCTATTACACATGGAGGCCTGTTCAGTGAGAAGGGAGCAGCGATGCTGGGCTCCTGCCAAGGAGGAGACTGTCTGCTCCCTGGAATTGGGGCTGTGCCTGGCTCCTTTCTGCCCCGCTTTCAGGGATATGAGTCCCTCCAAGTCCACAGGAGGTGACAGCCAGCTTGCGTCCTGGGGCTGAGGCAGGGTTAGTTTCAGAGCACTTTTTTCATAAGGGTGCTTATTCTTCTTCAGGGCCTTGGCTGATTATGAGGGGAAGGATGTGGCCACCAGGGTCGGAGAGGCCTGGCAGGAGAGGCCTGGAGCTCCAAGAGGTGGCCAAGGAGACCCAGCTGTACCCGCTCAGCAACCTGCAGATCCCAGCACCCCAGAGCGGCAGAGCAGCCCCAGCGGATCTGAGCAACTTGTCAGACGAGAGAGTTGTGGCAGCAGGTAAGGGCTGAGCTGCAGTGGGCTCTGCCTCTGGAGCCCATGTTTTTGTTGAGGTCTGCGACCCACATGGGAACCACTTCCCCACACCCTGTGCCAATACCCGACACATTGCACACCCAGGCTCCTGTTCTGTGAGTGGGTCATGGTGATTCCCTGGTCCTAGAGCAGTGTCATCAGGCTTCTTGTGGCTCAAGGAGCTGGGAGGGGACTGTGATAGGAGGATGTGTCTGTCCCCAGGTGTGAGAAGCCCTGGCTAATTCCCAATGCATGGGGCAGGAAGGAAGGCTGTCTCTCAGAGTACAGGTGCTCTACAGGTGGGGGTCCTGGGCAGAGTGAGGGCTATTTGTGTGGGTAAAATGCCATTGTCAGAGAAGGACAGAGTGTGAAAGAGCAAAAAAACAGGAGGGTAAAAGTGCAAAAGTGACAGAGTGAAGCAGAGAGAGAGAGGCCAGAGGGAGAGAAAGGGAGCATGTGTGAGCAGGCATGAGAGAGTGACACAGGATGTGACTGGCCATGTGTTGGTGTGTGCCACTGTGCATGAGCAAGAGGACAAACGTGCCTGTTACTGGAGCTGACCATGTGGCATTGGTGTGAGAGTTTCAAGTCAGGCTCTCTTGAAGGCATCTTGCCTGCCAGCGCAAACACTGCATGTCCTTGCAGCTCTGGACACGTCAACAGGCCAGTGATTCCAGGGGTGCAAAGCGAACAGTTTCTTACACAAGACAGAAATGTAGAAGGAGAGAGCTAAGACTCATATTGCCCCGAGAGAGGAGCTAGTGGAATCCAGCAGGGCATCTGCTGTGGGGAGCAGGTGGAGCCTGGGGTTCCTTTTGCAGGGATGAAAGAAACACAGTCATCTGCCTTCTTTGTTCTGGGGCTTCTTGTACCACAGAGGTTCCATAATTATTAATAGTTAGGTTATTTTTAGGGCCTAGCTCAACTGTTAGATAACAAGTTTTACCTTCTAAGAATATCTAGCCCATCTTTGATTCCTTGGCTCCAGGCCCTGGAGGGTCCCAGTCCAAAAACAGAGTGAACAACTTTGGACTTGCTGTCACATTGTGTGGCTTCTAGAACTAGTCAGTGTTCCATGCAGAAGGGGTATAAAAAGTGAGGCTTGTGGATGAAGGAGGAGGCGAGTGGTTCTGGGTTTTGTTTTCGTTTTGCGGGGGAGTGTCAGGAAAGGCTTTCTTTACAGGGAGAGTGATGTTGGAGCTGGGTTTGGAAGGCTGAGGGAGATTTTGCCAGATGTGCCAGACGTGCTTGGGAAGGCATTCCGAGTGGAGGCTCACAAAGTGTATAGGGAACATCCAGTCAGGTAGCCATCACAAAGGAGGGTTAATCCAGCCTGGCTTGGCAGGAAGCACCAAGTAGGGGCTGGGCAGGCACCTGCTCCTAGGCTGAGGAGTGTGACCCACATCCTGAGGGCCTTGGGAGCCACCGATGGTTTTCCTGCAGGAGAGTGCCACAGCCAGACTCGAGTCCAAAGAAGATCCCTCCATTGCCCTGTGGAGGACCAGGCCAGGGGAGTATACGACGAGACAAGGCAGGAGGCCATATTGGAGACTGTTTGCTTACACCAGGGGCAAGGTGATGAGGCTGCAAGTATTTTTGAATTATTAAAGGTAAAAGCGGGCTTGGCGTGGTGGCTCACACCTGTCATCCCAGCACTTTGGGAGGCCGAGGTGGCAGTATCGCTTGAGCCCAGGAGTTTGAGACTAGCCTGGGGAACACAGCAAGACCCCATTTCTACAAAAAATTTAAAAACATTAGCCAGGTGTGGTGGCACATGCCTGTAGTACCAGCTACTTGGGAGGCTGAGGTGGGAGGATTGTTTGAGCCTTGCACGTCGAGGATACAGGGAGCCATGTTCCTGCCACTGTACTCCAGCCTGGGTAACAAAACAAGATCCTGTCTCCAAAATAAAAATAAAAAAAATAAAGATAACGGTGAGGGAAAAGTGGTAGCCAAGGTTGCTCCCCAGATTTCAGGGCTAGGCAATTGGATGGGTGGTGACAGGAACTAGCTGAGGGTAAGGAGTTTGGGGGCAGGCCCGCTGAGAGATGCACAGAGATGAGAAGGTCACTGGGCCATGCCGAATGAGAAGTGCCTGTAGGGGCTCCAGCCAGTGATGTCCAGTAGGCTACTGAGTAAACAAATGTGGAGTTGAGCAAAGATCTGACCTGGGGCTAGAGAGCTGGGAGTTGTCAGCTCATAGGAAGTCACTAAAGAGAATGCATGAGGTTGCCTGGAGAATGCCTTTGGAAGGCAGTGTGTACAAAGCATGTATTCTCGGCTTTTCTCTGCAGACTTCCAGGGACAGTTGTCCAGCCAGGCCCTTGGCTGGGTGGGTGAGTCCACGTGGTTCAGGGATGCTGAGGGAAGCTGCTTCATCAGCTGACATTTCTCTCCATTTTCTGCTCTTCTTTTGTCTCAAAAAGAAAAAAAGAGGGGATATTAATTATTGATCCCCTAAAACCCTAGCTGAATATATAAAATGAAAAGAAGTAAAAATATGAGAGAAGCAAAGGCAGATGGACCATAATTTTGGAAAATAATTCCAAAAGGTCTTAAGGAGGAAGAGGAGCTACAGAGAGGTATTGAGAAGGAAAATTTTGGATAAATGGAAGAATCAGGAAAGACTACCGTCATGGAAACCAAGCCACGCTGAGCTAACTTTCCAGTGCTCTGTAGATGCTGAAATAGGCCCATCAGATTTGGCTATGTAGAACTCATGACTGCCTTGAGGGGAGTAGGTTGGGGCAGTGGGAAAGGCTGTAGTTGGATTATAATGGATTGAGGAGGGAGCGGAGGATAAGCAGGTGCAGTTGATGGGGTACACACTCTGAAACTGGCTGTGACGTGATGGATGTGGGAGGGGTGAGCAGATAATTACAGCTACAAGATAATGGGGAAGGTTTCCTATAGGTGAAAGCAACGTGTGCATGTTAGGTAAAGGCTGGGCAGAGGGTGCCTACGTGACCAGTCCCCGATAAAATCCTTGGACTCTGAGTCTCTCATGAATTGCCCTGGTCGACAGCATTTCACACTTGTTGTCACAACTCACTGCTGAGGGGAACTGAGTGAATCCTGTGTGACCCACTGGGAGAGGACTCTGGAAGCTTGTGCCCGGGTTCCCTCAGAAATTTGCCTTGTGTGCTTTTCCCTTTGCTGATTTTGCTTCGTATCTTTTCACTATAATAAACCATAGCCTTGAGTGTGATGATGTGATGTGTCCTGTGAGTTCTTCTTGTGAATCACCAAGCCTAGGGATGGTCTTGGGGACCCCTGACACAGATGGGCAGGATCAGAACTTTATGCCATAACAAGGACTTTAGATTTTCTTTCGAGGGCAAAGAGGAGCCAGGAAGGTTTGAAGCAGGGGAGTGATATGGCGAGAGTATTGCTTTGCAATGGGATCTCCAGTGGCAGTGAGAAGAGTGACTGAAGTGGGCAGAGTGGAGCAGGGAGAAGAGGAAGTGCTTACAGCATCCTCCATGTAAGAAATGATGGGGCCTGGACTAGGGGACTAGCTGTGGAGATGGAGACAGAACTGTAAAATAAGTAGAAGAGATCCCAAATTGGATGACAGGTAAGACTTGGGAGAGCAGTGACGGAGAGGGAAGTGACAATTTAGAAAGCCACATTTCTGGTCGAGTGAGTGGAGTATGTGACCCCTCCTGGCTTAGGTGGTGGCCAAAGTATCTCTAACCTGCCTCTATACTGCCTGCAACTGACTGAGCAAATGCCTGGTCCGTGGAGATCCCAAGCTGACAAGGGCACCTGAGGCAAGCCTCTGGCTTTCAGGTGGAGGCCCTACCTAGGCTGGCCTGGCTGGATTGCCCTGGCACACTGCTGTTTTGCTGAGGCAGACAGCAGCACTCTGCAAGTGCTCTTCTCCTGTTCCTCTTAGTGGTCTAAATCCTGTAGCATGCTGGGGTGCGACTGTAGACAAATCCCCTTTCCGGGCCCCCTGGGGTTCTCTATTTGCAGTCTTTGGGTCTGGTCACTGGCATGGCATCTCAGTAGGCTAGGTTCATCAGGAAGGGTCAACTATGTCATGGCACCTGATGGGCAGCATTTAGAGTCTGTGGGCCAGGGGCTTAAGGGCTGCTTACTGCTAATAGTTCTAAGTAGCAAGCATTCCCTCAGCCCTAGTCTGGGCACACGCCAGGAAGAAAGCCACTAGATGTGCTCTCCTAGTGGATAACTAGCCTGGAGTTCCAAGAAGGGCAGAGACAGGCAGAGTGAGAGCCTTCAGAGATGTAGGCAACGATAGTAGCAGAACTTCGAGGGAGAGTAGATGGAAAAATTAAAAAAAATCCTTGTCATTATTTTTAAATGTCTGAATTGACCAGATTAGAATCTTTGAGAGTCTAGACACTAGGGAGATCTCATGGGTGGGCCAGTTATTATATCATATGGAGGGAGAGTACGTATGACCCAGCACGAGAGGACCAGAGGACAGTCAGTGCTAAGGGTAAAACCTTAGGCCATGGGAGATTGAGTTTTTCATCAGTTGGCAAGTTTTCACTTTAATACTCCACTGTTTCCATCATTTCAGACGACTGGGGATGATAAGGACAATGTAATTTGGGGGATAAAGGAAGAACTCATTATATTTCTTGGATGACTTTACTGGGGAAATGGATTCCTTAGTCATTTGAAAGAAGCGGTAGAATTCCACATGTGGGGAATACTTGTTCTAACAAAAGCTTAATAACATTAGTGGCAATGATCCTTTTATATAAGGGAAAGCTTCAAGCCAGTGAGAAAAACATAAATAAACTAGTAAGAACATATTTATAACCATGAGATTTGGGTGCAGAATAAAATCAAATTGGCAGTTCAGGAAAGGTCCTAAACATCTGTATATTAACAATATTCCATCAGTGAGCAATGTGAATTTCCCATAATTGAAATGATGATTGATAACCTTGTATTGTTCTTATCTAATATAAGGCAAAGCAGCACTGGGGCTTTGATAAAGAGCAATATCTCATGTACACTGAGGACACTGAAACCCCGCTAGGAATTCTATGGAATTTCTAAAATATTTATATTAAGGACATTTTACCCATTATAGACTAATTTAGGGAAGGTTCTGCATTTTTTTTTTGATTTGACAATGTTTCCAATGCAATTTATACAATATTAAATAAGACTAATTAGTTTTTGCACCTTTCTTGTTACAAGGTGAAAGAACTAATCCTTTGAGATTTTCCAGAAGGTCCCTGGCAAATCCCAAAGCCAGTTTTAGGTATAAAATATATTTAAGTTTTGATTGTGGGAAGGCAAATGTTAAGAGTTGTCAGGAGTTCTCGAACATTTGATTGAATAGCATTATGGGTTAGCGAGAAATACTACTTGGTTAGCTAGTGAATCAGAGTTGTAAAAATTTTCAAGTAAACATATGAGGTAACATGGTTGTAAAGAATCTTCAGTTCCTTTAAAATTGAAAAGACTTTAAAAAAATAACTAAGGACATAATAAACTGAACATACAGATAGGGCATTACAGTATTTTGATAAGACATAAAATCTTTGCCTCTTAGGCAGATGACTCAGAAGAAAAACAGACCATTTATAACTTTTTATTAGGGACAGACCAATGATCAAGAATTTTTTTTTTTTTTTTTTGAGATGGAGTCTTGCTCTGTTGCCCAGGCTGGAGTGCAGTCGCGCGATCACCATGTTGGCCAGGCTGGTCTCGAACTCCTGACCTCAGGTGAACTGCCCACCTCAGCCTCCCAAAGTGCTGGGATTACAGGCGTGAGCCACTGCACCTAGCCTAAGAAAATTTTGTTATTTTAACAGAGAAACCAACATTTTAATTTTATACAAGTATAATATTTGATATTAGTTCTTTTTTGAAAATCTTATAAATACACTGAATAAAAGTTTTAACCATGACAAATAAAATTCCTTTTCTGTGAACATTTTCTAATTTTAAAGATATTTGTTTACATTTTGTCTCACACATTTTTAAATTATTTGTCATTTTAATTTGGGACAAAGCTATTCTCTTTTTCCTTAGGAAAAGCATATTTGCATACAAAGTTGTTTCCCTTTGCCATTTTTGCCATTATTACTTTTAGCAGTTTATATATATATATACACACACACTTATTTACTTATTATAATTTTAACCATTAATAACTTCTCTTTCACAGAGAAAACAGGAGGTAGGTAATTTTGAAATATCATATACCAGCATTTTGTAGCAGACTAGTAAAGCTTATGAATATACATCTCATAACTTTTTATAGTTGTTATATACTTTTTATAGTACCATTTTGCAATGTGGACAAATGAACACATTTAACAGATCCATATGTAGTCACACTGTACCATAAAAAAAGCAAAAAGTATATAAACTTAAATTTAGGTCTAGTGACTAAGTATTTTATCTTCTTTATAAATGATATTTAATGAATTTAGTTAACTTAATTCAGCATAAGTCTAAGGTTTTAAGTTACCAAAAAGATTTTAGAAACTGCCTTTAAGCTTACATATTATAAAACATAATTACTGTTGAAATAAAGTTTGCCAGAATAATGACTCAGTTTGGTTAAAAGCAAATTTAAATTTTTATAATCTTAAACATGTAGTAGATATAATACTAGCTTATTCAACATGTAAACCTGTTTAAGTTTAGGAGGAACATACCCAAGTAGAGTAAAAATATATGCTTGTATTCTGTTGTATTATATGTAATGCTGATAACTCAAAGACACATAGGTGTCTATTAAACTAACAATATTAAACTAGTTTTGTTTGCCAAAAGTTTACATAAATTCTGTGAACTTGAGTTTTAAAAGCATTTGGGTTAGTTTTTATAAGAATACTTTTTTGTTGTTTACACTGAAAGTATTAGAAGTTGTTTCCTTAATTTATGAGAGCTTTATAATAATTTATATAAGTACTTATTTATCTCTAAGTCAATTAGAATAGAGGATAAGGGATTTTGTAAATTAATTTGGTAATGCCATCTGGAGGTACTGAACTATTACACATATACAACATACATGTATACTAAACATACAGACAGACACAAATAGAGATCTAATGGCGAGCCCTCAATGGGTGCAGGGGGCCTGAAGCTCTACTGGCTATAGGCAGTTGAGAGGGCTGAGTGGGAAGGGGAAAGCCTGGTGAAGAGTAGATAGGGGTATGTAGGAGGTAGAGGCATTGAAGGGGACAGATGAAAAGATTCAGGGAGCTGAAGGGAAGGTCCAAGGTGGTGAAAAGAAGGGAAGAGGGATGCGGTAGGAAGATGAGAAGGGGGAATCTTAGATGAGCAGGTTTGGGGAGACCCCAGGTTCCCTAATAAGGTCACTGAAGTTCCAAATTACCCTTCGTGATTACTTTTTTTTTTTTTTTTTGCCAGTTTTGGAAATACTGGACAGAATGAGTGCCATAGGGGCAGGGCATGTAGTCAGCAAGGGAGGAGGAGGAGGATGAGGAGGAGGAAGGGCACCCAGTAGATTGAGAGTTACCTGTGGGAAGAGGCAGATCAAATAGAGAAAGGAGCCAGGCTGGACAGTCTCATTAGGAAGTTCTGCACACAGTCGTCATCTGGGAGCCAAAGTTTCTCTTCAGTCCTCATTGAGGAGCTGAAGGGCTTTCCTTGTGCAATCTCTAGACAAGGTGTCAAGGGAAACAATGAGGCCTCACAAAAGAGCCAGGAATTTGGAGTAAATCTCCACTCAAAAGGAACCAAGAAAACTTCTATCCAGGACGATTCTGGCTAAAATTGAAAAGGACCAGGAAGAGTCCTGCTCAACAGAGTCAGGGGTTAAATCCCCACTCAAAAAGAGCTAGGAAGAGTTCTGTCTGCGAAGATTCTTGCTCAAACAGAAAAGAACTGGGAAGAGCTCATTTAACAGAATCAAAGTAACTGAATCACAGAACCATAAAAAGTGTCCAATAAAAGCAAATACCGTCTCTGGGCAGGGTGCAATGGCTCACACCTGTAATCCCAGCACTTGAGAAGCTGAGGGAGGAAGATCACTTGAGCCCAAGGGTTCGAGACCAGCCTGGGTAACATAGCGAGACTCCTATATCTATAAAAATTTTAAAAATTAGCCAGGCATGGTGGTGTGTGCCTATAGTCCCAGCTACCTGGGAGGCTGAAGTAGTGGAGGATTGCTTGAGCCCAGGAGTTGAGGCTGCAGTGAACTATTATTGCACCACTGCACTCCAGCTTGGGTGACAGAGCGAGACCCTGTCTCAAAAACAAAAAACAAATATGGATTTAGATAGAGACTTTTATTTTATTTTATTTTATTATTTTTGAGACAGAGCCTTTCTCTGTCACCCAGGCTGGAGTGTAGGTGCCATCTCAGCTCACTGCAACCACCACCTCCCGGGTTTAAGCAATTCTCCCGCCTCAGCCTTCTGAGTAGCTGGAATTACAGGCGTGCGCCACCATGCCCAGCTAATTTTTCAATTTTTAATAGAGATGGGGTTTCGCCATGCTGGCCAGGCTGGTCTTGAACTCCTGACCCCAAGTGATTCACCCGCCTTGGCCTCTCAAAGTGCTGGGATTACAGGTGTGAGCCACCGTGCCCGACCAATACTTTATTTAAAAAGACTATTGCAATAGGGACAATGCTGCAACCTCAGGACTTGCAAACATCACAAAATAATACAAAAAACATCACAAAATAATAAAAAAAAAAAAGCCTTTTTTTTTCAGTAGGGAGTAGTAAGCACAGCTAGCAGCTCAGCTACTTTCAAGGGCCAGTGGGCAAGCAAAGGGGAACCTGTTTGGCATGATTTGACCAGAAATGTGTTTCCCTGTGGTCAGCCGGTTCTCAGGAGAAGCTGCTAAGTGGGGCATGTTCTGCATTGCAGCACTTACTTAACCAGGAGCAAGCAAAATTCAGGCCCTGTGGGGAGGACAGAAGCCTGCCTAACATTCTGTCAAGGCAAAGGAGAGGGTAAAAAGCAGACAGCTGTGAACACTTGATCATCCTTCAGGCAATAATCCATTCTGGGTTTCTGGCTTAAGACTCTTGAGAAACAAGGGGAAACAACTGGTAGGAGCAGCAGGCTCACCTATATGTAGTTCCGTGAGGTAGCCTTATGGACTTCTGCCACCTTCCAAAACTCAGCATGTCCCAAACCATCTTTATCAACACAGCTTCTCACCAAAAACAACCAAATAAAACAAATTAACTAATGTACTAATTCTGTATCTCCCCCTGTGTTGTTCATCTCAAAAAACTGTTATCACCTCATTGACTCAGACTCTCAACCAGCGAGGTAGAAGAAATGTTTGGGGGCATGTTAAATGTAACACCTATGAGACATGTAAGAGGTGAGGTGCAGGACGCAGGTACATGGTGATAAAAGAAAAACCTCAGCCGGATTAAATTTAAAGGAGTTTCATTGAGCAATGAACTATTTGTGAATCGGGCAGCCCCCAGAATCACAGCAGATTCACAGAGACTCCAGTGCAGCTACATGGTGGAAGATTTATAGATTAAAAAAAAGGTGGAGGGGGGGAAATGACGTACAGAAATTGGAAGTGAGGTACAGAACGGCTGGATTGGTTACAGGTTGGGGGTATGCCTTATTTGAACACAGTTTGAACACTCACCAGTGTATGAATGGTTGAAGTATGGCCGCTGGGATTGGCCAAGAGTTAGCTATTGTTACAGGTACACACTCCTAAGTTAGGTTTTCAATTTTGTCTGCCTCTAGGTTACAGTTTATTGACAAAGACTCAAATATAGAACTATGGAGTCCTTCTCAGGCCGTATTTAATTTGCTTTAACAATTCCCCCTTTTTGGTCATTTTCTCAACTTTGAGAGATTGACAAAAACCTTAGTTATTGATATCACTATTACCCTTGTAAATGTACTTATATGGTCTTGAAACCCACTGGGAAACAGGAGGACAGTGGGTTTTGTAAGGAGAGAATAAGGACTGAGTAGAAGGTACCTCTTTATGCTAGAATGTTCTGTTTACAGGACAAAAACAAAACCTGGTCTGTTTTAATAACTATTTGTTTCCTTAAAGTCTTAGTTTGATTATGTTACATTTAGCATGAGCAACTCCATTTTGTTTGGTTTGGTCTGTTGGGTCCTAGTGCATGAGCTCAGTACACAACAATGGCTTGCCAGAATTTTGTTTAAAAAATTCCCCTTGGCTGGGCGTGGTGGCTCATGCCTGTAATCCCAGCACTTAGGGAGGCTGAGGCGGGCAGATCACGAGCTCAGGAGATCGAGACCATCATGGCCAACATGGTGAAACCCTGTCTCTACTAAAAATACAAAAATTAGCCGGGCGCGGTGGCATGCGCCTGTAATCCCAGCTACTCGGGAGGCTGAGGCAAGAGAATCACTTGAACCTGGCAGTCAGAGGTTGCAGTGAGCCAAGATCACGCCACTGCACTCCAGCCTGGTGACAGAGCGAGACTCCACCTAAAAAAAAAAAAAAAAAATATTTCCCCTTATTGGCCAGGTTCTCACTTAGGTGAGAGTGTGACCAAAACTTAGGGCCTTAGCACCACTTTTAGTTACCTAGTTACCATCATTTTAGGTTTCCAGTCTCAGCATGTCATTCATAGGTTATGATGTCCTCATAATCATACATTTCAATCAGTTTTGTTATTCCAGTTGAAGAGAGACCATTTGACATTTCAGAGATGGCTGCATGCAAACATTTGAAACCTTTGAGAGAATACAGTGCACTGGGGAGACTACTATGACTACCAGTAGGATAATACCCAGAGTTTGAAGTATGCTGTTTACCTGAGGTCCCCATAAAACAAACTGCCTAAATTAAATAAAATAAAGAATGAGCTAGACGAAGAGTCTACTCACTTCACTAAGTGATCTTTTCATTAATCCTGTATGACTGAATTTTTATAATCTGCACTTGATATACATATTAGAATTTTAGAAACCCCATATAATTTTGGAATATATATTAATATAATTCACTAAAAATATACCCTGAAGATTAAACATTATTTTTATTGGCCAAGCGCGGTGGCTTACACCTGTAATCCCAGCACTCTCGGAGGCCGAGGCAGGCGGATAACCTGAGGTCAGGAGTTCAAGAGCAGCCTGGCCAACATGGTGAAACCCTGTCTCCACTAAAAATAGAAAAATTAGCCAGGCATGGTGGCATGCACCTGTAATCCCAGCTACTCGGGAGGCTAAGACTGGAGAATCGCCTGAACCCAGGAGGTGGAGGTTGCAGTGAGCAGAGATCATGCCATTGCACTCCAGCCTGGGCAACGAGGGCAAAACTCAGTCTCAAAACAAAACAAAACAGTATTTTTATTTTGACAATGCCTCCCATGATTTTTATACCAAATAAGCCAAATGTCACTGTTGCATTAGTGCATTATCGATGTCAAACCCAATTCTTAAATAAAACCTTATAGACAAATGTATTCAATCTTAATCAGTTTGAACATAAGGTAAGAATTTTATAAACCTTTTATAACCCTTTACAATTTTTGTTGAAGAGCAGATTAGTGCTCTAAGAAAACCTGTTGTGCTTTTATGTCCATGTTCAATTTATGGAAAAACCTAATAATACCCTTTTAAATTTAGTATTATCATACATAAAATTTTTTACAAGGTTAATTTTTTTTTTTTTTTTGAGACGGAGTCTTGTTCTGTCGCCTAGGCTGACAGTGGCATGATCTCGGCTCACTGCAACCTCTGTCTCCCCAGTTCAAGCAGTTCTCCTGCCTCAGCCTCTGGAGCAGCTGGGACTACAGGCGTGTGCCACCATGTCTGGCTATTTTTTTTTTTTTGTATGTTAGTAGAGAGGGGGTTTCATCATGTTGGCCAGGCTGGTCTCGAACTCCCAGGTGCTCAAAGGAAAATTTAAGACAGTCCATGGAGGAGAAAGGTATAGACAAGGTCATGCAGATATTAAACCAGAAAGGACTTATTTCCTAAGCCAGGAATCGAACCCAGACTGCCACTGTGAAAGGGCAAAACCTTAACTACTGAGCCCAGAAGGAGTCTAGAGTAGTTAATTTTGAGCTTGCAAAGGCTTTTAACTAGTCAAGATAATTTTTAGAACTAACTATGATATGAACCCTAAAATTCCTGTTCCCTGGAAGGTAGAGACAAGGAGAAAGTACTGCCACATGGTTACAAGGTCAAGCTCCCAAGGACATAAAACAGGATGGCGACCTTGTCCAGTTTTTTGTTGGTTTCAGGGACCTGCAGCAAAGTTTGTCACTGACCAGCTTGCTGGGCCATCTTGAGCAGCAAGCTTATGGGGGCCCAAGCCCATGTTTTATCCTAAGGTACCCCTCGACACAGAAAAACGACTTTATAGCACAAAATATACCAGATTGACTACAGCTTAAGACTAGACAGCCTCAGAATTCCTTTTTGCATTAATTAAAATTTTACAGAGGAGATAAACAGTGATTTTACAATCAGTTTGCACAGAGAGAGAGAAGCCTGAAATCTGACTGGGAAGAGATATTTACCCTTTTGCTGGCATGCCAGGCTTCTGGGCTCCCTTTCCCTGAGTGGCCCTGGTGATCTGGCTCTCTGCACCATTGCCCCGGGAGCCAAGCCACAACACAAAAGAATTTTTTTTTAAAATGCACTTCAGTGTGTTGTTGTTCATTTGGAATGTTCCACTGTAAGTTATCTTTCGTAAGATGTCACCATTTCTGTAAGAATTTGCTGCCTCCCGGGCGTAATGTGTAACCCAGAAGGAACTCAGTTTTCCAGAAGCAATTAATAGGTTCCATGGAATGTTGATGGTAAGAAAGGAAGGAAAAGGTGACAAGAGTGAGCGTAGACAGCTCTTTCTAAGGAGTTTGGCTGCTGGAAGGGGAAGAGAAGCAGCTGGGGTTAGGTGGGAGGAACTAAGTTTAGAGACGCTAAAAGTGTATGTAGCAGGAGTCACCTGATCAGGTTGAACTGCAGCAGGAACAAGGAAGTTCCATTTTGACTACTATTAGTTGCAAATTGGACCCTTATGTCAACTTTTTCATCTGTAAAAAAAAAGGGATGGCCAGGCACGGTGGCTCACGCCTGTAATCCCAGCAGTTTGAGAGGCCGAGGCGGGCGGATTGCCTGAGTTCAGGAGTTCACAACCAGCCTGGCCAACAAGGTGAAGCCCCGTCTCTACTAAAATACAAAGAATTAGCCACGCGTGGCAGCGGGCGCCTGTAGTCCCAGAATCTCTGGAACCCGGGAGGCGGAGGTTGCAGTGAGTCGAGATCACACCACTGCACTCCAGCCTGGGCGACAGACCGAAACTCCGTCTCAAAAAAAAAAAAAGGGGGGCAGGGGATGAAAATGCTATTGCTTTCCAGGAATAGCTATGACTACTTCCAATAAAGAAGACAAGAAGGTTCCACATGTGAAAACTACGCGGTCACAACGATAAGTGGGCGGGTGCACGCACGCGCGCTGAGATCGTGCGTGCACAGGCCGGGGTGCGGCCGGCGTGAGTACGCCTGCGCGTGCCGCCATTTCCTGCAGCCGCAGACTCTGCCTGCGGTGCTCGCCGGGAAATGAGACGATCAACAAAGAAAATGGTTGTTTTGGGCGAGATCGACCGTGGAGAGGCTTTTTCTGCAGCAGTCCCGGTTCCTGCCGCCAGATGGCGCTCGAGGATCACAAATGGGTCTAGGGTTCTCATAATGGCCCCGCCTAAGAAATTTTGGATTCTCCTGGCCCTTCCCCCCTTTGTGGGGTCAACAGCGGATTTGGGAATCTGGTGACCAACACGTGCGCACTCCCCTACCCTTGCCCCTACCGAGCCCTCCAGGGTAGCTTGGGGGAGAAGCTCCTCCCTAGACTGCCGGGTATTTGATGAGCCTGGCCAGCGCACAGGTCTTGAGCACCATGGTCAGGGAAGAAGGCTGAATGGCTTAGGTCTTCCTAGAGAGGCCGGAGGCGGGAAAGAACTGGAGAAAGGAGAGATGGCAGTGGGAGGATGGGGACAAGAATACCAGTGTGTTTCCAGCCAGAAGACGATGTCTTTTAACACCTCATTGAAGTCGTCAGGTGACTTTGCCCTTGTCAGAAAGGAGCAGCACTGCGGGGGTCCTACTGAGGAGGAGACTGACTGCTCCTTGGGGTGGGGATTGTGCCTCCTTCCTGTCTGCCCCACTCTTGGGGAGATGAGTCCCTCCAAGTCCACGAGACATGACAGCCAGCCTACCTGCCATGGGAGAACAAAGTCTAGTCTCAGGGCACTCACTTCATAAGGGTCTTATTCTTCCTCAGCGTGTTGACTGATTTTGAGGGGAAGGATGTGGCCACCAAGGTCGGAGAGGCCTGGCAGGACAGGCCTGGAGCCCCAAGAGGTGGCCAAGGAGACCCAGCTGTACCCACTCAGCAACCTGCAGATCCCAGTACCCCAGAACAGCAGAACAGCCCCAGCGGATCTGAGCAATTCGTCAGACGAGAGAGCTGCACCAGCAGGTACGAGCCAAACTGCACTGGGACCTTACCTGCTAGAGCCAGTGTTTTTGTCCAGGGCAGCAACCCAGGACAAACCCCCACACACTAGGCATGCCTGTTTATCCTCTGCAGGTGAGTGTGGTTAGGAGCCAGAGGGAAGGAGAGAAACCAGCATCTCAGGGGTAGATATTCATGGGTTTCAGCTTGGAGCCATAGCATCAAATCTGTTAGACTAAGTCTGGCACAGAAAGGATGCACAGAGAACCAGGTTGTCTGGCAGCCAGTTCGAACCTGGAAACCTGGGTCAGGGGAGGGATATAGGTTGCTTTTTCTGTTAATGGAGATGGAAACTCTCTGAGCAAGGTGTGCCATGGTGTGGATGTGATTCACTGCCAGAAATAACAACTGTACCAGTTGGATGAGCTCTTCCACTGCCATCAGCACTGGGATGGCCATGGATTTGGACAGTAATGTAGCTCCACAGTGCTGACTCAGGGTTGCTCATTGATTGCAAGAAGTTGGCAGCAGTAGCCTGAGGAAACAGGGGCTCTGAATTTTCTGAGAGAGACCAAGAACCAAGGAACAGCCAGGTACTAGGGAACAGACAACACCAGATGCTTGTGCTTTTCTGTGAGCAGCTCAGGTCTCCCAAAGTGGTAGTTTCCTGGCTTCTGGCCTTTGTAGATCAGTGTGGATCCACACCCAATTGTGATGTTTGTGGTAGCTGTAAGAACTTTCCCAATTTTGAAATCCTAGGTGACTTGTAGCATATTTTTTCACATTTGAAAATAATTGAGTTTTGAAAATGTTTTTACAGGCAATCTAGTATCAGATTTTATATCATCCTGAAACATTCTGTCAATTGTCATTTCCAAAAATCCATGGAAAACTGGAGTTGTTGAACTGGAAACAGTGTGGTCTCAGGAAGTGCTTCACAGCCATTGCAACATGGGCAGGGCCTAGAGGGCAGGAGAGAATGCCATGATTTGATGACATTTTACCCATTCCTGCCAGGTGAACTTCATCTCCCTCTCTGTGACAGAATTTTCTGGCTCTCACATCCAGCTTTGGTCACTGGGAACCCACCTATTGGCTCTTGCACTGGCAGGACATGTGGTAGAGGCTTCCAGTTCGAGGCAGGACTGGCTGCATTTTCAAGATGTCCTTATTTCTGGTATTTTGTGGCGATCGTCCTGTCCACTTAACTGATTTTGACCCATTGCCTTGCTGTGATCTCTGTGCTCTCTCTGTCTCCCAGTTCCAGGTCATTCCCTTGACCAGCTTCCAGTCTTTCCTCATCTTGTCCCTGCCAATGAAGTATTCTGGCTCTGCCTTCACTCTCCTGCCATGATCCATTGCTTTGATAGGGTGGCTTCAGGAACAGGGTGAGGAGAGGGCTGTGCTAGCTTTATCTTGCCAAGGAACTCAGCAAAGAAAATTTTTGCTGACCTCTTGCATTCCTCAGCCTGGCTCTGGTCTCTCAAACCTAACACATGGGATGCATGCCAGCAGCCAGCCTCAGTTTCCCTCTGGTCCTTTTCTGTGTGAGGCCAGAGGTCCTTGCTTTATCACTGCCTGGAGCTGCAGTTGATGATGGTGAAAGAAGGTGCACGTGTCTTTTGAGAGCTCCCTTTGTTCCCCAGAGATTTTTTTTTCCCAAAGTGGCCATGAGTTTGGGAATAACCAGGAGCCATGGGCCGCCGGCTAGAGATGCTGCATACTAAGAGCCTCCTGTGAGCAGCCATGTACACAGTGAACACGATGGCTAAGGCCCCATCCAGCCGCCCTCAAAGAGCACATAGTCCACTAAGGAATAAGCATGATCGTAATAACCATTAGCACCTGCTGTGTGCTGAGAATGTGCAGGCACTGTTCTGCATGCCTTATGTGGACTCACTCATTTAATTCTCACACCAACTCAAGGAGGTGCTTTTATTATGGAGAAACTGAGGCAGATGGAGGTTAAGTAATTTGCTGGCAGTTTTGCAGCCAGGAAGTGGCCTAACCGAGATTAGAATCCAGACAGAGATCAGAGCCTGTACTGTTCATCGCTGTGGCATCCATACTGCCCCTCCATTTGTGATAAGCCCAGGAAGGAAAGAAACCAGGTGCTCTGATGGAGAGGGGTTAGAGCAAGGATGGTTAGGGAAAGCTTTTCTATCGAGGAGGAGACAGTTCGGCTGAGACCTGAAACATCTGGAGGAGCCTGCCTTCCAAAGAACCTGGGGAGAGGCATTGTGGACAAAGAAGATAGGGAGGAGGGCCTGAACAATGAGCCCTGTGCTTGGAGGGTACGGGGTGAGGTGAGCAGGGGGCAGGAGCTGGGCCCTGTAGGGTCTTGTAGGTGAGGGAGAGGAGGCTATTGGGAGGGCTCCTATTGCTCACATTGCAGTCCTGGGGGGATGCCCAGGGCATTTTTTCTTTTTTTTAAGAGGCGGTGTTTCACTGTGTTACCCAGGTTGTTTTTGAATTCCTGGCCTCAAGTGATCTTCCTGCCTCAGCTTCCCAAGTAGCTCCAGGGAATTTCTGTTTTACCTTGCCTCTTCAGTTGCGCCGTCCCCTTCAGTATTCTGCTGACATGGATCACAGGATACCAGACACCTGGTAGTTGTTCAGTCAGTAGGAGGTCTTCCTTCCTTCCTCTTAGAATCAATCCTTTTCTCACTTGTTGGCTCTGCATTTTATCCCCCGTGTATCTTTTCAGATTTTTGTGGGGCCTCCTCTCCCATCCAGTCCACCTTCTCCAGTCTCTATGGTATATTTCTTTGTCATAGGGTGAAGCAGGAACAGGTACAGGATGATTGGGTACACTGAGGTGAGGTAGGAGGGCAGGCCCTCAGGAAGGGCTTCCCAGAGGAGGTGATATTGTCTGCAAAGGCATATGAGAGCCTGGAAGTCCAGGGGAACTGCAGGCTGGTCTGTACGGCTTGAGTGGCACGTGATACAGTTTGAGACTATGAGGCGAGAGAGCTAGGCAGATGCTAGACCATGATTGTTCTTCCCTTTCCCCACTCTTCAACTAGTTGTAATCTTAGGCATTGGATTCTCTGGCAAGGGGACAATACCCAGTAGCCTGGGCCAGATGGAGGCAGCCATATCTGGAGTATGATCTGAGCCACAGCATGTTGGAGAAAAGCCAGAATCAGCCCAGGGCAGTGTGCACCCATAGTGCTGGCCTCAGGCCTTTGGAGGGTGAGCAGACTTAAGTTGGAAGGTGCAAACAAGTGGTCAGTGGTGCTGCCCAACATCGTGCCCTGAACTGCAGTTGACAGCTACGGCAGCTTTGGTAATGAGGCTCATAGCCTGGGGGCAGGCAGAGTGAGAGCCGATATTGGCTTGGCCAGAGAAAAGCCCTTTTGGGCTGCCGAGGAGGTTGGATTCCAGGCCAAGGGCCATATCTGGCAGCTGAAGTGTGGAGGTTCAGAAAAACTTCGACACCGGTCAGTTTCCCGCCTCTGCTGGGAATGAGGTGCATCTGACTTTCCTCCTCAATGATGCCTAATTTCATTTGGTCCTCTGCCCCTTGGCCTTGTGTTCTCTAGAGAGTTCCCTGCAGGGTGGCAGAAGGAGCTGATCCTAGTAAGGGACCGTCCCATCCAGTGAGGAGGTGAGCTGGGCTGTGTCTTCCCCTTCTGCACCCTCCTGACTGTCACATCCCCGGGAGCCCCATGATTCCACTCTAACTGAGTGAATCACAGAGGCCAAGGCCCTTGGCTGCAGTCAGGAGTACTGAGTGGACACTGGAAGATTGGGGTCTTGCTACTGACTCACGATGTGACCTGGGACATGTCTCAACTCACCTAGCCTGGGTTTGCTTATCTGTAAAGTGAGAAGTTCCATTTGTTGGTCTTGGAGGAAGCTTCAAGAGCAGTGCTCAAGGGTTAGGCTCAGAAAAGCCTGTTTGACCCTGGAAGGTGTCAGCTCCCAGGTTGACGTGCCCACCCCTCCCTTTATTTCTTTCAGGGTGAGGAGCCCCTCGAGCTGCATGGTCACTGTTACTGTCACTGCCACATCTGAGCAGCCTCACATTTATATTCCAGCCCCCGCAAGTGAATTGGACTCCAGCTCTACCACGTAAGAAGGGCTATCTAGCAACCTGGGAGATGTTCCTCCGCCACTTCCTCCTTGGCGGTAAAGGACTTGGCTTTTGTTCCATGTTGCTTCCCATTTAGTGCCTTCCCCAGTTTCTAGCAGGCCATTAGCCAAGGGGCCACACAGGACAGTGTTAGTCCCCTAATATAAACTCCCATCTACCGGGCCTAGACATTCCCACACCTCCTTTTTCCTATCTCTGTAAGAGGCTGCAGTGGTACTTCCTAGTGCACTAGTGGATGTGGCTCTGCCATTCATGGGTCCATGCCTGGGAAGCCAGCTCCAGTCCGTGAAGGCCGGGCCTGTGAGGGCATTCCTGTGTTACTGTAAAGGAATACCTGAGGCTGGGACATTTATAAAGGAAAGAGGTTTAATTGGCTCACAGTTTGGCAGGCTGCACAAGCATGGCACCAGCAGCTGCTTGGCTTCTGGCAAAGGCCTCGGGAAGCTTATAATCATGGTGGAAGCCGAAGTGGGAGCAGGACCATCACATGGCACGAGCAGGAACAAGAGTGAGGAAGGGGAGGGCCCGGACTTTGAAACAACCAGATCTTGTGTGAACTAACTGAATGAGAACTCACTTTTCACTAAGGGGATGGTGCTAGCTGTTCATGAGGGATCCCCCCATGATCCCGTCACCTCCCTCCAAGCCCCACCTCCAACACTGGGAATCACATTTCAACATGAGGTTTGTCTGTCTCTGTCACATGCCCACTGCTTCACCTGCATTCCTGGCCACCTGTCAGGGTGCAGGAAGGGATGTCACTGCAGGAAGGCTGCTCAGTGAGGTGTGTGTGTTGGGGGCGGGAGGGGGGCATATCCAAGGGGGCCTCTGCAGACATCAGGTCAGCAGGCTGGAGTGTGCAGCATGGAAATGGGGGAAAATTTGGGGCCATCCTGAGCCCAGCATGATGCAGACCTTGTTTCCAGTCCTGCAGAGGCCAGTCCAGGATGAGGCAACCTCTAGGCCTCTGGACTCTAGGAGTGAGAATGGAGAGGTTAGATGTGAGGTGGAGATTGCACAGTAGCTGAGTACCTTCTGGGAAGTGCTGAGTGGTAAAGACTGACAGTGTAGGATTAAGGCTTGGAGGATATCTTGGTTGTGGGTAGAGGGGAAAGACGACGCAGCCCTAAAGTAGGGGTGGAAAGCCCACAGGACTGAAGTGTAGAAGTATAGAAGCCTGGGGAGAAGATGGGGTCACCGAGGTCTGCATGGAGGAGGACAGCACATTGTCATTGGTTGCAGGAAGCCCCTTTCTGGGGCCCTCAGTCCAAACACAACAAGAGACGCTCATGGCCTGGGATTGTAGTCTGAGTCCACAGCAGTGCCAGTGCCTTTATCCTGGGCCTTCCCATGAGCTCTTTCACTTCCTTCAAACCAGGCTGGGTCTCCCCAGCCCTGAACCACTCCTGTGGGCCAGGCCTGGTTCCCTGGAATCTTCTGGTGTACCTCTGATTTCTTCTGTGCTCCTTCTACAGCAAAGGGATTCTCTTCGTGAAGGAGTACGTGAATGCTAGTGAAGTGTCTTCTGGGAAGCCAGTATCTGCACGCTATAGCAAGTAAGAGCGGGTCCCAAACCCTTCCATGTCGGCCTTCTCCTGCCGGCTCCCATATTCTCATCCCTGCATTTCCAGTTCCTTGTCCAGGACTTGGCTCAGAGTAGCTTCGGGGTAATTGTCGAGTGGATGAGTGATGTAGTTGCCCTCTGATGGGATTGATGCATTTTCTACTGAACTGGGCACCTTTGGGTTCTCCCTTCCGGTGAATTCATCCTGCACACCATTTTCACTGCCATTCTGTTCTGCTTGTCTTTGTTATTTTATTTTGTAAAATGCTGAGAACACCCCTCTTGACAGAGCTGGCAGAGCCCTAGGGACCAACTAGCTCATCCTATTTCTTTTCAGATCACAGAGCTCTTCTCTTCTGCCCTCATGTTCTTTTCTGTCATGCCAGGCTGCCTCATTTGAACACACATGTGACTGCAGTTCCTGATACATGTGTGGCTTTGCTTTTTAATTTTAATTAATTAGTTAATTAATTTTAATTAATTTTTTTTTGAGATGGAGTCTTGCTCTGTTGCCCAGGCTGGAGTGCAGTGGCGCCATCTCAGCTCACCACAACCTCTGCCTCCTGGGTTCAGGCAATTCTCCTGCCTTAGCCTCCCTAGTAGCTGGGATTACAGGCGCCCACCACCATGCCCAGCTAGTTTTTGTATTTTAGTAGAGATGAAGTTTCACCATGTTGGCCAGGCTGGTCTCGAATTCCTGACCTCAAGCAATCCACCTGCCTCGGCCTCCCCTTTTCATTGATCATCTCTTCATTTTCTTGCTTTGTGATGCCATGTGGAGGGGTACTTCCATGTCACCTCGGTGTATTGCTACCTACCACACTGAGGTGAGGTCCCTTAGAATGTTTCTTATGACATGTCATCTCACTGGAGGATTTTAGCAACAGAGAGGAGCATCCTGGCCTTATTTCAGGATTGGGCCTCTGGGGCTTCTGGACTGGCTTTTATTGGTGCTGTGGAATGATGAGCATGGCTGTGGGGGTCAAGTTCAAGCCCCAGCTCAGGCCCCCCTGTTAGGATCACTTCGGACAAGATGTTCAACCTCTCTGAGCTTTGCTTTCACATCTGTAGGCCCTTAGGGTGGTTTTTCTCAACAGCTTATTGAGTTATAATTCACCCTTTAAAGTGTACAGTCCCGAGGTTTTGGTACATTCACAGAGTTATGCAAACATCATTATCCAATTCTGGAACACCTTTGTCTCCCCAAAAAGAAACTCCAAACCCGTCTGCACCCCCTAATTCTACCCCATAACTCAAGCACAGGTATTATACCAGAATGATCCCTTCTTTCTTCTCATTCCCAGTATCTGATTTCTGCTGAGTGGGCTCCTGGTGACTGTCACATTATATCATAGGTGGGGAGGAAAGCTCTGCTGTTTTCCCACTGGTCAGTGGGGTCCCCTTGGCATATACAACCTCAGGAATCCTAGCCACCCAGCCCCGATCATCTCCCTCATTGTGAAAGGTCTCCTTTGCCCCCCCATAGAAGGGCCCTGTGGCACCAAGTCATGAATGACGACTGGCATCGTAGTTATGTCTCAGCTTGTGGCCAAAGGTTAATTAGAAAATTAACTATGATAGTGATTTGGCTCTCATCTCTGCCCTCCTCTCCCCTATCAAACTCCCTGCAGCGTCAGCAGCATTGAGGACTCATTCGCCATGGAGAAGAAGCCTCCATGTGGCAGCACTCCATACTCTGAGAGGTATGTTGACTTTCTTAGCACGGAGCTTGCACTTCTACAGAGGAGAATCAGGGAAGGGAGAGTTCCTGCTGAGTCTGTTTGCTTTTGTCTTCTGCTTTGCAGCCTCCAATCCATTTGCAGAAAGGTGAAGGACACTACCGTAGGGTGGTGCTTCCCTTGTTGGGATATCACACTTGTGACAACTAAAGCCTTTGAATTGAGCTAAGACTAGAGGGTAGATACCAGCGGTGACTGAGAAGGGAAGTGGTGGCATCTGACAACCCAGAGGACTCGTGTCAGCAGGAGGGGCCCTTCAGATTAGAACCTAATCAATCACTTCATTAACTTGCAAATCTAACCAGAAGTAAAAATAAAATGACTACAAAAGAGAGGAGTGGGCAGAGAAGGAAGAAAAATGGGCTGCTGGCATCAAGAAGCCAGAAAGACACACAAAGCCAAGAATGCCCAGTGCTGTGGAGCCACCAAATTGAAAGCAGGGGCAGAGAACACCTCGTTCAGCAGTTTTGAAAGCTGTCACTAGATGATGGCACAGTCACTAGAGAGTCTTAATGACAAAGAAATCTTATGTTCAGATTCTTGGAATGGGGAGAAGAGAGTCTCAGAGATTGAGTTCACTCAGGCTTCTGTGAAGAAAATGGAATAAATAGCCTTCAGTCCACAGTAAGCAAATACGGCAGACCCAGGACTAAACCCCAGGGCCCTGACTACTCCCAGGTTAGGGATGTTTCTACTCTGCCATCTTGCTTCTCATTGATGGGCAGATCTTAATTCATGTGGATGACATTCAGAGACCAAAGCTACATTGGGGAGGAAAAGGAAGGAAGTAAGAGGGTTAAGATAAAGAGAATCCTACCGGGCCCCAGAGGCAAACATATAGGAGCAGACAAGCATATGGGGCCAGGGAATCTCCTCCACTATAGCTGAAGAAGCAGGTGGTTCTGAGTAACTACAGATTACTTGGTGAGGCACATCAGCAGATGAAGTCTTAGCAGAGAAGGGCAGGTTGGTCAGAAACCTGAGAGTTAACCACTTACATAGGAGCAAATGGAATGAGGCTTCCAATTCTAGTGGAGTGACAAACCAGATACTCTAGGGACCCCCCTTTCCATTGCACAACTACTAAATCCAGAATCAGTCATTACTGATCCATTGCTAGGCTTGGAGGAAGGAAGGGGACTCTCTAGGGACAATCTCAGTCACTTGCACACATGCATATGCACAGACACACATGCACGCACACAAAGAACAGCTGTGAGCTGGTGCTGCTGGTGGTGAAAGAAGCAGGAGGAGCAGGGCTGCGCTGAGGGCAAGGATTTCAAGCAGCACTGCTGTCCAGAGTGAACCCTGGGCCAGCAGCAGGATGGTGGGCCACACCCAAGCTGCCCGTGACACTTCTGGGTCCTCCGACAGAGCTAACGTGGATCTAGATTGTTAATGTCCCCCCGCCCCTTGGGCTTCTGTCAGAAGCAGACCCAAATCTCTGGAAGAAAGTACCCTGAATTTTGGCTTGTAGGATCAGATCAAGCAGTTACTTTGAGGAAGTGCAGTCTGAGGAAGAAAAGCAGAGGTGACTCTCAGAAACAGGCATCCTGGAACTGGAAAGATGCTCAACCCAGGAGTCAGTATCTAGAACTTCAGTGTCGGATCTGAGTAGGCTCTACAGACAGAGCATGAAGGGTGGGTCCAGGAGTATAGGCAGGGGCAGAGCTCAGTTGGCCCAGGCGTGAGGAGAAGGGCCATCAAGACGGGGCCAGGCAGGGCACACAATGACATGTCTCCTGTAGGAGAAGGCATTGGTCTTCCTGCTCTAGAGGGTAGCAGGCCCCAGCGGATAATCTAAGCAGAAGGTCAGGGGGAGGCAAACTGTCTGGAATAAGTATCATATCAGGACATCTACAGGAGACATGTCATTGTGAGCTGGAAAAAGATGCATGACTAGTTTTTGGAAATAATGCAGAGGTCTACAGCAGGCTGAGAACTGATCTGGCCCAGGGCTGTGCTGCACACCACAGAAAACAGTGGCATCCTGGGGATCCTGACAGCAAACCTGGGCCTGGCTGCACCAAATTGGAAGGTCTGGCTGTGTCACATCAGAGGTCTGTACACCAGCCTGACCACCGGGTTATTGTTCTTCATCTCACAGGACAACTGGAGGGATCTGTACTTACTGCAACCGTGAGATCCGAGACTGTCCAAAGATTACCCTAGAACATCTTGGTATCTGCTGCCATGAATATTGCTTTAAGGTAAAAAAGAGGTGGAAGACACCTTGAGCTAGGCGGTAACTCCTGATCACGTGCTGCTAAGAACGTTTTGTAGAGTGCGGGAGTCTTACGGGTTCAGAGACTGTGGAGGAGGCTTGATCTCCATATACAATTGCACATAGTCGCAGAGGCTTTGCACAACTGGGAGCTGAATGAGCTTCCAAGTCTAAGACAGTAGATGAGTGTTGGTGGTTCTGCATGCTTAGTACTGTAGGGAAGACAAAAGAGGTCTTTTCAGGAAAGACTATTTCTGGCAGAGGGCCAGCAAGTGCAAAAGCCCTGGGGCAGAAGCACTAGAGTGTTCTAGCTTGCGTGGGAGAATGCCAGGAGTGACAGAGTGGGCTAGATCATGTAGGCCTTGGCGGGCACAGAGTTTGGATTTTATTCTAAGTGACATTGGGGTCCCCATTCTCCACAGTGTGTGGCACTTTGTAACCCCAGGTTGTTGGTTCCAATCCATTTAGGGTGTCACCTCTGGGTGCACTGAGAAAAACAACCCTCCCCTTTGCCTTGACAGAATGTTAGGCAGGCTTCTGTCCTCCCCACAGGGCCTGAACTTTGCTTGCTCCTGGTTAAGTAAGTGCTGCAATGCAGAACATGCCCCACTTAGCAGCTTCTCCTGAGAACCGGCTGACCACAGGGAAACACATTTCTGGTCAAATCATGCCAAACAGGTTCCCCTTTGCTTGCCCACTGGCCCTTGAAAGTAGCTGAGCTGCTAGCTGTGCTTACTACTCCCTACTGAAAAAAAAGGCTTTTTTTTGTATTATTTTGTGATGTTTTTTGTATTATTTTGTGATGTTTGCAAGTCCTGAGGTCCAGGATGTGCCACGGGCTCACAGCATCTGCTCGCCCACCTTGTTCAGGCATCCCCTTCCCACTCCACTCATTCCTCTTGCTTTGCTTTGTGTGTTGACCTCCAGCTTGCTTTTCTTTTCAGTGTGGGATTTGCAGTAAACCGATGGGCGATCTCCTGGATCAGATCTTCATTCACCGTGACACCATTCACTGTGGGAAATGCTATGAGAAGCTCTTCTAGGTGGGTGCTGGCACTGCAAAGGACAAGTGGCCAAGAGACTCATTAAGGAGTAGAGATGCACCCTGGTCTCTCCTGGAGTCTCAGCCCCAGACACAGCTATCTTTCTTGGCTCTTCCTTATGTTCAGGGGGCCTTGTGTCCTCATGTCCCTATGCCTTGTGATACTTTGAGATCTTAGGTGGCATGGACAAAGGCCCTCAATGAGGACACTTCCAAATCACACCTTCCGTCCAGCACCTGAGCCGAGCCCTCTAGCTACCCTGGGATACTCGCTCGGCCGCTGTTGTTAGCCCCATTTTGCAACAAGGAAATAAAGATATAGAAAGGGAGGGGACCTGGAGAAACCCAGGTAGAATCAGGACCTCACCCCAGGTCTTTGGATTCTTGTCCAGGGCTCTCTGTTCACTGTCACTCGCATAGCTTCAGATCAGGACTGCATAGCCATGGTGCTCAGTGAAACAAGCCTCTGGGCCACATTATGAGAACTGCCTGAAGATGTGTGTTTGCATGCTCATAGCCAGTGGAATTTATCACGGTGTCTGAGCACAGAGCAGAATATATCCCTTGAAGGCAGTAGCAACCAGGCTTTCCACTAGCTCCATGCTGATGGTCTTCTCTCCAGAAGACACACCTTGAGCTAGGTGGTAACTCCTGATGACTGGAGCAGTCACCCACCCTGAGGGCCTCTAGCTGATGTGTTTCCAGTCTCATGGCTACTTCTGTTTTCTTTTAGCGACCCCCCACCGCCAGGCTGATCAGAAGCTGATGACTCGTGGACAAATTTGGCTGTCCCCAGTTTTGCCCCAAGTTGCTGTCTCCCCTTCCCTCACCTCCTCCCTCCCTGTTTGATTTCTTCATGCTTTTGCCCTTCTCAAGTTGAAGTTGCATACATCCAATATCGTATCTTAATGATGCTATGATAATTGCTTGTGTGTGTAGCTTCTTGTAGCTTAGAAAGCGCTTTATGCCCATGATGTCATTTCAGGCTCAACCAAAGAGGATCAAACAGGAATTCCATCTTGGCTTCCCTAAGACAGATTGGCTTTCTAATGAGTTTAAGTGGGCAGAAGTGTAGGGTTCAGTGTGTCCTGACTCCCTTGAGGCTTATAATGGGCCAAGTTGAAGACTGTTGATGATCCCTGGTGGGTAAATTGCAGACATCAAATGCTAGGGATTGGCATAGGCTAGTGTTTAGCTTGTCTATTTGCCATATCTATTTTTTTTAAATTTCCATACACTTGTAAAAGTAGTTAGTTGCTTTTGATTGAGTTATATAGCAGTTTTTCATTTGGTCTTCCACTCACCTTTCACTATATTTGAGTGTTCCCTTACAGGTATGTTGGCATGTGTTGGAAAATTTACACAATTAGGTTTAAATTCAGTAGGATGTGATTTTAGGATGCTACTGATCAAAGTGATATCTGTGTCTGTTGGAATCTTGATAGCTGATTAATTTGCCCTCAATTCTGCTCCCTGAACTTCACACATAAATCTTCCCAAGTGGGTTTTAGGGTGTATAGATCCCAGCAGGATTAAGGAGGTGGAAAAGCAGCTAACATTTCTTGAGGCTCTACCACATAGCAGGCACTGTCACAGAGTAATGGCATTAATCCCCATAATAATCCTGTGAAGGTGATATTCTCATCCCATCTTAGACATGAGGATATTGGAACTCAGAGAGGTGGCTATTGCATTGCGCAGAACGCTACAGAGCCCATGCTCTTCCCAGAGCAGCACCCACAAAAGCAAGCATTGATTTTGTGCTCAGTGTGTGCCAAGCACTGTGCAGAGGGTACACAGTTCCTGCCAGGTTAACACCCTCCCTTCAGGCCTCCCAAAGGCATAGGCTTGCAAAGAGCAGAAGGTGTGAAATCACACTCTTCCTCTGGGCATCCTGGATCCCTGAATTATCCCCCCCCCCATGAAGTACTTCAAGGGCCAAGCTGCCCCTTTCCCTCCTCTCCGCCCATGAAAATGCCTCCAAACTGAGATGCTTTCAGCTGAGAACAGATTTGACTCACAGACATTACCAAAGAGGAGCTTGTGAATCCAGGAAAAGCTCCAGGGGGCTAGCTGATCTGAGCAGAGAGCTTTCAGTGACCCATTTTCCTGTCTAGACTCTGCCTTAAGCTAGTGGCAACTGCTGGGGCCCCAGGTACTTGGGACATGGAAACTCGTTGGATGGCTGGGCAGATGTAAGCCTGTCCATGCAGTCAGCCGATCCTCTGCTCAGGTTCAGCTGGACTCTGCCATCTGTGGGCCCAGCATCACTCTGTAAGTTCCTTGAAAGGAAGAACAACCTTAGAGTATTTCTGATACAAAATGAGGGCCTCTGCTCTTGATTTAATTATAAAATGTCTACGTCTTTCTCCAGTTTCTGAGCCCTATGCACATTGGCTTGTGGGCTTGTTCTTCCTGCCAAATGATCAGAGAGGAACATTCCATTTATTTGTAGTGGATTTCCTCTGGAGGGCATGTACCCACACTAAATACCAACTGCTCTTCCTCAGCTGTAGTCCCCAACATCAGACTTGGCACGTGGTGGACACTAACACACAGGCACTCAATGAATGAGTGAAGGAAATAAAAGTCACCCCGTTGGTGAGAGGTGCTATCCCTGAGTCTCAGTGCAGGACCAGTGGATGAAAGGCAAGGTAAAGAGGCCCAAGATAGGCTGGCTTCCCCCGTTCAAGGTATAGTCTGCCTTTAAGGGAGTTTTAGAACCAACATGCAAGACATTGAAAGAAATCTTGCAAGAGCCATTATTGACTTAGATCCAAAACAGCCTCTCTCATGTCTAAAAAGGCACAGAATTTTGCAGATCTGAGGAAGAGGGATGCATTACCTTTTTGCTTCTTTTCAATTGCTTAGTGTTTCTAATCATACTTAATCCACACTAATGTGCGCAATTATAATAAATGGTAAGATATCACATGTGTCAGTGTTAAAGTTTTCTTTTGAAGTGTAATAACTTGGTGTATTCAGCTGTGTGATTTCTTTATTCCTATTGCCTGAAGCCATTCTCTGTACAAAAGTAAACAAGTACTTAATAGCAAGCTCTAGACACTGGGCATGCACAGGAACTGTGGAATTCTAGACACATCAAATCTTAATGAAGAATATTGTATTGTGGCGGCAGAGAGCGGGGGCGGTCCATCCTTCTCATGATTACCACTGCAGACAGACAGCCACCTAGTCATTAGTGCCCACTTCCAGTGACCAGGAGCTCAGTTCCTTACAAGCCCCTGCTGTCTGTGGTTTTAGAAGATGCATTCTTCAGTTGAGTTAAAGTCCATTTCTGTATGTCACCCACTGGTGGTCTTTAATCCCTCCGCTAGATGCCAGCTCTTAAAATAGATGAAAATACTTCTCAGATTCTGTCTTGGTCAACTCTTCTCACATTTAAACACCCCTGGTCCCTCTAACTCTTCCTTGACAGTAATTCTGAATACACATCTCTCAAAGGCCCTCCTCAAAGGTGACCCCAACACATACTCCAACTCATTCCTCTAGATGTGTACCAGTGTAATCTGCATGCGATCCAAGTCTTGATTCAACCCAGGGACAGGAAAGGGTGATCAGGAAGTCCAAAGATAGACATAATACTCCGAGAACTCCTTCTGCCACTGAGTAGGGGCCTCAGGGCCATTGGACTAGTGTCCCTCTAGCTATTTTCTCACCCCAACTTTGGCCTTCATCTTGTTACAATGGGAAGG
Source organism: Homo sapiens (assembly GCF_000001405.40). NCBI lineage: Eukaryota > Metazoa > Chordata > Mammalia > Primates > Hominidae > Homo > Homo sapiens. Next base: position 589,447 of record NW_025791818.1, read on the forward strand.
AAGGAAGAGCTTTTACTAATTCAAATGACAAGGACTGCAACAGTAGCTCCTAACTAGGTATTTGTAGGACTTTTAATTGGTGACAGTGTGACACAAAGACCTAAAGGAAAAATAGGGGAGGGTCATTCTGAAACAGCAAGTCGATCCTATTGTTGGGCCTCCTCCATTACCATGACTCCTCCTTTCTATCCCAGGTTTGTATCTGTGACGGTCTCCTACCCATGCATCTCTATGTCCTCTGGGGACTGCTCCTTGCTTAGGATTGTGTTTGGCCTGTGGATTTTCCTCCCCAGAATGTATTCCTCTTGTGAAACTTCTCTGTACAGTATCCTCTGCCTGTGAAGGTCCCAAACCTGCTTCTGAATGCCTTCTTCCCACTGTCCTCTGCCTCCTAATGCCTTCTGCTCCTGGCTCCTTGCACAGTGCCTTCTACCTGCAGATGCCTTCTGCTCTCTGATCTCTGCTGCTGAGTTTGTTCATCACCTAGGGCCCAGCCAATGAGGCCTATCTGCACAAGGGCTTCTGCCTGTAATTGCCCTTGCCATAGTGTGCTTTGCTTAGTTAGTCTTACTTAAGGTCTGTTGATTTTCTTGTTTGTAAAGAACCACATCATTGACTTTTTTAAAAAAAAATCATTTTATTGATTTTTTTCTATTATTTTCTGCTCTCTGTTTCATTAATGTCACCTTTAATCTTTGTCATTTCTTCCCTTCTACTTGCTTTGGATTTACTTTGCTCTTCTTTTTCTAGTTCCTTTAAGTTGTAAAGTTAGGTTATTGATTGGAGATCCTTCTTTCTTTTTTTTTTTTTTTTTTTTTTTTGAGACAGGGTGTTACCCTGTTCCCAGGCTGGTGTGCAGTGGCACAGTCATGGCTCACTGTAGCCTTGACCTCCTGGGCACAGGCAATCCTGCCACTTAAACCTCCTGAGTAGCTGGGACTACAGGCACGTGCCACCATGCCTGGCTAATTTTTTCCTTTGAATTTTTTTGTAGAGGTGGGGTTTGGCCATGTTGCCCAGGCTGGTCTAGAACTCCTGGGCTCAATGAGTCTTCCCACCTTGACCTCCCAAAGTGCTAGGATTACAAGTGTGAGCCACCATGCCCGGCCAATATCTTTCTTCTTGAATGTATGCATGTACAGCTGGAAATTGTTCTGTGAGCACTTCTCTAGCTGCATGTTGTGTTTTCCTTTTCATTCATCTCAAAGGTTTTCTAATTCCCCTTATCACTTCTTATTTGATCCACTGGTTATTTTGGAGTTTGTTGTTTAATGTGGGTTCCCCAAATTTCCTTCAGTTATCAGTTTCTAATTTCATTCCATTATGGTAGGTTAACACACTTTGCATAACTTCAACATTTTAAAATTTGTGCAGGCTTGTTTTATAGCCCTGTGCTTTGCTGTGAATGTGTTCTTCATGGGGTTCTCCCTGCACAGCTGCGGTCACTGCCTGTGACCACTGTCCACTCTGCCCTCTGCCTTCACAGCCTCTCTGAATAATGCACCCTGCTTGAGAACTGCCTCTCCCTCTCTCTGAAAGTCTGCTGCACATTGCTCTTCATTTCTGAGGCCCACTGTACACTGTGCTCCGCATTGTGCTAGCTGTCCAGTTGTGAGCTTGCTGCAACGTGGCATGCATAATGCTTGGCTGCCAGATCACCTCCTTATCATGTCCTCTGCCTGTAGTGCCCTTGGCAGATCCCCCTGCTTCAGTATCTCCTCCCACAAATGTCTTCTGCCCATCGATGCCTTCTTTTGATCAGCACCTTGATGTTCCAGTTGGTCACTTAATCACTCAACAAGCATTGATTGGATGTCTACCCATGTGCCAGACGTGGGGGCCCCAGTAAAGTAGACACAGTTTGTATTTCTGTGGAGCTCACAGTGTAAGAGGAGAGGAGTAAATCAAACATCCCACAACAAAATACTGTTGTGATAAGTGCTCTGAACAAAACATACAGGGTATGTTTTGGAGACAGGGTCAAGGCCCTCACTGCAGCCTTGACCTATATGCTATAATATAGTGACCTACTCTGGGCTGCTTGGTTATCGGGGGAACCCGCCCCCAATATTTCAACGTAAGTTCTTTCTGTTTTCCATAAATGTCAGCCAGCTGAGAAATAGAAAGAGTACAAAGAGAGGAATTTTATAGCTGGGCCTCCGGGGGTGACATCACATATTGGTAGGACTGTGATGCCCACCTGAGCCACAAAACTAGTAAGTTTTTACTAAGGATTTCAAAAGGGGAGGGGGTGTACAAATGGGGAGTAGGTCACATGCTTTAAGGGGCAAAAAGCAGAACAAAGATCACATGCTTCTGAGGAAACAGAGCAAGGACAAAATCAGAACTCCTGATAGGGGTCTATGTTCAGCTGTGCATGTATTGTCTTGATAAACATCTTAACAGAAAACAGGGTTCAAGAGCAGAGAACCAGTCTGACCTCAAATTTACCAGGGCTGGGGGTTTCCCAATCCTAGTAAGCCTGAGGGTACTGCAGGAGACCAGGGCGTATTTCTATCCTTATCTCAACCTCATAAGACAGACACTCCCAGAGCGGCCGTTTATAGACCTCCCCCCCCAGGAATGCATTCCTTTCCCAGGGTCTTAATTATTAATATTCCTTGCTAGGAAGAGAATTTAGTGATATCTTCCCTACTTGCACACGTCTGTTTATAGGCTCTCTGCAAGAAGAAAAATATGGCTCTATTCTGCCCGACCCCACAGGCAGTCAGACCTTATGGTTGTCTTCCCTTGTTCCCTAAAAATCGCTGTTACTCTGTTCTTTTTCAAGGTGCACTGATTTCATATTGTTCAAACACACATGTTTTACAATCAGTTTGTACAGTTAACACAATAGTGGTTCTGAGTGGACCTGATGTATATTCTCAGCTTACGAAGATAACAGGATTAAGAGATTAAAGTAAAGACCGGCATAAGAAATTATAAAAGCATTAATTTTGGGAGCTGATAAATGTCCATACTAAAATGAAATCTTCACAATTTATGTTCCTCTGCTGTGGCTCCAGCCAGTCCCTCCGTTCAGGGTCTCTGACTTCCCGCAACATCTCTCCCTTTCTTTTTGAACATAACAGGATTAAGAGATTAAAGACAGGCATAAGAAATTATGAAAGTACTAATTTTGGGAACTGATAAATGTCCATGTTAAAATGAAATCTTCACAATTTGTGTTCCTCTGCCACGGCTCCAGCTGGTCTCTCCGTTCGGGGTCCCTGACTTCCCACAACACTTAGTCAGGGAAGCTTTTTTACATTTTTGTTTTTAGAGACAGATTTTTACTCTGTCACCCAGGCTGGAGAGCAGTGGCATGGTCGTAGCTCACTGCAACCTCAAACTCCTGGGCTCAAGCAGTTATCCAGGCTCAGCCACCTGAGTTGCTGAGACTACAGATGCACATACCACCACATCTAACAGAGAAGCTTTTCACAAGGACATGATATTTGGCTTTAGTATGAGTTTGCTATACAAAAGGAGGCTATCTTCCAGGCCCTCTTTAATGTTCCCCTGCACTCAGCTCCACCCCTCAAGGCTACTCACTTTCCTTGTACAGTGCATCAAGCCTTCTGTGGGGCACTGGGGATACATCAATGAGCAAGACAGACAATCTGTGAATTTGTGGAGTGACCATCTCATGGGGAGAAAGACAAAGCAACAATCCTATTTCAGTCGCAATAGCTAAAGGAGCACAGAGGTGTGTCACCTGGATTTCTGGGGCTAAGGATGGTATTCTGGGGGAGGTGACCTCTGAACTGAAACCTGAAGGATGAGAAAGAATCATTCATTCATTCATCCATTTAATAATTTAAATATTTCCTGAGCACCCACTGTGGGCCACACACTATAGTAGGCACTGAGGACACACCAGTGACAAATCAAAGACCCTGTCCTTCTGGTCAATGATAGGAAGCAGGTGCTAAATAAACATGAAAGTCTTTACTCTTTTTTCATTTTCTTTTGAACCCACTTCTTTGAGGCTCTCACCTCCACCATGGTACTAAAAATGCTAGTGCTAAGGTCCCCAATGACCACCACATTGCTAGACCCCATGCACACTTCTCAGGCCTCATTGACTGAGCAGCAGCGTTTGGTCCAGTGGACATGTATTAGTTTGTTTTCACACTGCTATAAAGAAATACCTGAGACTGGGTAATTTATAAAGGAAAGAGGTTTAATCGACTCACAGTTCCACATGGCTGGGAGGCCTCAGGAAACTTACAATCATGGCAGAAGGTGATGGGGATGCAGGCACCTTCTTCACAAGGCTGCAGGAGAGAGAAGTACAAGCAGGGGAAATGCCAACGCTTATAAAGCCATCACATCTCTGAGAAGTCACTATCACGAGAACAGCATGGGGGGAACTGCCCCCATTATCCAGTCACCTCCCTCTCTCAACATGTGGGAATTATGGCTCCCTCCCTTGACGTGTGGGGATTACAATTCGTGATTAGATTTGGATGGGGACACAGAGCCAAACCATATCAGGTCCATTCCCTTTGCTAGGCCTCTAGGCCCATTCTGCCTTTCCTTCCACCTCACTGGTCACTCCTTTTCTATCTCCATTGCTGGTTCTTTCTCATCATCCCATTCTCTCAACTTTGGAGTACTCTAGGACTTTGTTCTTAGACCCCTTCGCTTTTCTATCTGCACTCACTGCGTTGTATCACTGGGGTCCAGGCTTCAACAGATACAGTATACACTGCCTCCTTCTGGAATTGCAGCTGCTCCAGCCCACATCATCTTCCTGAACTTCAGACTTGTGTTTCAACTTCCCACAGCTCATTTCCACCTGGGGAGTCTAATTGTCATTTCATACTCAACCATGGAAGCCATGCTCTATGCATTGCCATCCACAGCTCCGTAAATGGCAGTCCCATTCTTCAGCTTGCATAGACCAAAACCTACACATCACCTGCTGATCTCCCACTGCACTTCCAGCCCATCAGCCTAGCCTGTTAACTCTCCCTGCCAAACAGATCCAGAGGCAAACCATTTCTCCCCACCTTCACCATAAACATATTGTCCCCTAATCCCCCATGTGGATGATTACAATAACCTAAGCAATCATCTTTCCTTCCTTCCCACCCTGAAGTGTACCCCAGCATGGCTGCAAGAGTGAAGAGTTTCAATCCGATCACATCCCTCTTCTGCTCCATACCTTCCCCAGGCCTCATTTTACTTGGACTAAAAGCCAGAGTCCTCAAGGTGGCTGGCCAAGCAGGTGCTGCTTTATCCAGCCCCCACCACCTTTCCTTCTTACTCATACCATTCCAGGCATTCTCTGGCCTTGAGCTGTGTGCTGGTTGTCTCTTCTGCCTGGAATGCTCATCTCCCAGATGCCCACGTGGCCATCTCCCTTGCGTCCTTCACATCTCTGCTCAGATGCTACCTTCTTCCTGATCACCTTCATGGACCATCCAATTTAAAATTCTGTGCACACCCATAACACTCCTTATACCTGCTTCCTTGCTTTTTCTCTGTAGCACTTATCACAATCTAACATACTACATGTTTTCTTCTTATTTTATTGTTTGTATTTCCTTACTTAAATGAAATCTCCATGAGAGATTTTTGTCCTTTTGCTCCACTGCTGAATTCCCAGTGCCTATAATAGTGCCCTGCACATAGTAGGTGCTCAGTAAATGTTGACTAAATGAATGCATAAAATAGATGATTTCAGACAAGTTCTGTAAAATTATAAAGCAGAACGAGCTAGAGCTCTGGTCTCCACATGCTAAATATGGTCTCCACATCCCACGTTAGGCTACTTGTGTTTAAATAGAAATCAACTAAAATACATTTTTAAAATCCAGTTTCTCAGTCACACTAGCTCCATTTCAAGTGCCTAGTAACCACACATGGCTAGAGACTACCCTGTTGGGCAGCACAGGCCTAGAATATTTCCATTCCCACAAGTTTTCCAGGTAGAGGGGCCAGTAAGGGCAGAGGCCCTGAGATAAGATTAAGAGCCAGGTGTGTTTGAGGGACTAGCCAGCGGGGCTAGAGGGTGGTAAACACACAGCAGAGTGGGGGCCAGATCATGTAGGGTTTGCAGGCCATGGTTAGAAGTTTGAGTTTTAGTCTAAGTGATATGGGAAGCCATCCATGGCTTCTGAGCAAAGAAATGATGTCATTTGATTTCTGATTTTTAAAAATCACTATGAGTTATATTTGGAGAATGGACTATAGAGGAGCAAGAGGAGAGAGAGAGGAGGCTATTGCACTGCAAGTATCAGTGACGGTGGCCTGGACAATGATGGCAGTGGTAGAGATAGAAGTGGATGGAGTTTACATGTATTTGGAAGTAGAACTGCAGTACTTGCTGATAATGGAATATGAATCTATGAGGGAAAGAGAAGAAGACAAACTGAGTCTAGTTTTGGAATCAGAGCAATTGGGTAGATGGTGATGCCAGTATCTTGGGTGAGCTTATGAGCAGTTTGGCACTGATTGAATGGTGTGGCTTGGGAGCCAGAGTTTTGTGTTAGGAAAATTGGTATTGAGATGTTCTGTTGCCCAAGTGGAGATGTGGGTTAGGCACTTTGACATATAAGCCTAGAGCTTAAGAGGGAACTGGGCTTAGAAGCAGCCTGCCAATGATAATGAAAGCATGGACAGGCTGAGATCACCAAGGAAGTGAATGTAGATAGTAAAGAGAAGAGGACCCAGGGCACTGAGTCCTGCGGAGAATCAAGCAGAGAAGGAGGAATCAGAAAACTCTATCAGGAGAGGCCAGTGAAGTAGGAGGAAACCCGAAGCATGTGGTATCCCAGGAGCCAAGGGGAAAAAGTGCTTCATGAGGGAAGAATAGTCACCTGGGTCAAAATCTACTGAGATGTTGGTGTAAATAAGATGAGGACAGAGAATTGACCTTTGGATTCATCAAGATTGAGGTTGTTTGGTCACTTTGTTGAGTCCTTTCAGTAGCAGAATGGGTGAAACCAGTGTTTCAGAGAATCAAGGAGAGCATGGGAGCTGAGAAAGTGTGGGTGGTAGGCATAGACAAGTCTGAGCTTTGCCATGAAGTGGAACAGAAGAACAGAGTGAGAGGTAGAGGGATGTGCTAGTTAATTGTATGTGTCAACTTGACTGGGATAAGGGATGCTCAGATAGCTGGTAAAAACATTATTTCTGGGTGTGTCTGTGAGGGTGTTTCCAGGAGAGATAGCATTTCTATCAGTACAATGAATAAAGATCACCCTCACCAGTGTAGGAAGGCATCATCCAGTTGTTTGAGGGGCCAAATAGAACAAAAAGATGGAGGGAGAGCAAATTCTTTCTCTCGCTCTCTCTCTCTCTCTCGCTCGCTCATTCTCTCTTTCTCTCTCTTCTTGAGCTGAAACATCTATCTTCTCCTGTCCTCAGACATCAGAGCTCCTGGATCTAAGGCTTTCAGACTCCAAGGTGTACACCAATGGGCCGCGCTCCCCACTCCTTTAGCTTTGGATTAGAAGTAACACCATAAACTCCCCTGGATCTCAGGCCTTTGAACTTGGACTGAATTATTCCACCATCTTTCTCTATTCTACAGCTTGCAGATGGCATATCATAGAATTTGTTGGCCTCCATAATCATGTGTGCCAATTCCCAAAATAATATATCTATCAGCTCCTACTGGTTTTGCTTTTCTGGAGTGCTCTGATTAATGCAAATGGGAATTTGGAGGGTTTGTGTCTGTCCGTGTCATAGGTAAACAAGGAGAGCATTCCTGAGTCCTAACTAAGTCTTATGGGGAAGGGGTATTGTGTTAGTTTCCCAGGCCTGTCATAACAAAGTACTACAAAACGAAAGTCTTAAACAACAGAAATTTATTCTCTCACAGTTTTGGATGCCAGGAGTCCAAGACCAAGGTGTCAACAGGCTTGGTTCCTTCTGAGGGCTGTGAGGGAAGAATCTGTTCCAAGCCTCTCTTTTTTGCTTGTAGGTGGCCATCTTCTTCCTGTTTTACTTCACATTATCTTCCTTGTCTGTGTGTCCAAATTTCTTCTTCCTATAGGGACACCTGTCATATTGTAATGGGGCCCACCATAATGCCTTCATTTAACTTTAATTACCTTTTTAAAGACTATCTCTAAACAAGGCCACATTCTGAGGTACTGGAGTTAGGACTTCAGCATATGGATTTTGGGGGGAAATAAAATTCAGCCCACCCATAACAGTGTTTTTGTTGTTTTGTTTGTTTTTTTGTTTGCAATAAGTCATTTTCTGGAACACTGAGGGATGGGGGGATTTTGTAACCATTGCTGTTTTCAAGGATCACAGGGCTTGAGTAACGTTCAACATTGTCAGCAGGCACCTGGGGCCAGGAGCAGGGCAGCCAGAGGTGCTAGAGGCCAAAGTGCTCAGAGGACTGACTACTGTGTGCAGGACTGCAGGCGTGGGAGGCAGGCCCTGCTCTGGGCTCCATGAGGAGGGGATAGGGTCTGGAGGAAGATAGTAGCCTTGAGAGAGGCTGCCCCCAAATGCTGGGTGTCTTTGGATGGGGAAAAGCTCAGAGGGCAGAGTGTAAGCCCAGGCCCAGAGCCAGCCGAGCCTCTGGGGCCCATGGCTCAGGGGACCACAGCAGCAGGGGACCAGAGTCTGCCCTGCAGGCCCAGGGAAGCAGCCAGCAGGTGCCTCTGCTTTGGCCTTTGCACAACCCACTGTGGGTGAAGGAGTCGGGGCCTGGGTGGTGGTGCCATTTGAACAGGCAAAGAGAAAGGGGAGAGAGAAAAGGTCACATTCGGCTCTTTCCAAATTATCTTGCCCAGTGGGAGAGGACTTGTTCCCTGACCAAACTGAGGGTCGGGCTGCTATTTCTTGTGGCCCAATAATGAGATGCAGATGAACTGGGGAGGAAGAGAGTTTTTATTTCTATAACTGGTTACAGAGAGAAAACCTGGAAAATATCGCCAGACCAACTCAAAATTACAAAGTTTTCCAGAGCTTATATCCCTTCTAAGCTATATGTCTACATGTAAGTGTGCATTCATCTAAAAAGACATAAGTGATTAACTTGTTTTAATCTAGAACTAAGATCTGAGTCCGGAAGGCCTCCCTCTGGAGCCTCAGTAAATTGACTTAATCTAAATGGGTCCAGGTGCTGGGGTGATGACCCTTATTTTGTCTCCTGCTAAATCATGGAGGTGTGGAGAGTTCCTTTAATCTCCAATAAAGCTTGTTTGTGGAGGCCTGGTGAGTTTCTTCAGACCTTCAATAAAATGTGTTGAATCCTAAATGGGTCCTGTGAAAAATTCCTTCATTACTTTGTCATGTTTCAAGGCCCAGGAAAGGTCTAGGCAAAACTCTTGGTGGGCTTTTCTTACATTCAAGCCTTTGTATAAGGGTGCTGGCTCTTTCAGCTTTTAATATTTAACTTTACCACTCGGTCAGTGCTGAAGCAGTTGTTGTGGAGGCCTGTGTTAGTGATACCTGACCTGCCACAGACTGAGGGCTGGGAAAAGGGTGGCCCCCAGGGGTCTCACTCTTCTGTGCCAGGCCCTGTTCCTGTGTCTGGCAGCCAGAGGGCCCATTCCCAGAGCCCATCTAGAGCCAGACTGCCCAGGGCGTGACCTTCCTCCTGGCACCCTGCCATGGGAGTGGCTGGGAAAGTGACTGCTCTGTGGCGTCTTCATCTTCAGAAAAATGAAGCTGCCACACAGCTCACCAAGAGGAGGTGATCCCAGGCCAGGAACAGGTGGACGTCGGGAGTCCAGAAAGGCCACAGAGGGTGCTGGATCCTGTGGGAGAAGCAGCAGGGGGTCCCGGCCATGCCCCTAGGTTGGACTTGTCATTCCCAACCAACTGCAATGGGACATAGACTTACCTTACAAGGTAGTGAATCGACAGGTTCTCAGATGAGCCTAAAATTAAGTACAAAATATGCTGGCCCGCCACAGACCCCGGGGTGCTATCCATAGAAGGACAGGGCACAGGCCTGAGGACGGCACCCCTGTCAGTCCTCTCTGCTCAGGGGCAGACCCGAGGATGGGACCCCTGTTAGTTCATTCTGCTCAGGTGAAAGGCCCGAGGATGGCACTTCTCTCAATCCACTGTGCTGAGGAAACAGACCTGAAGACAGGACCTAACTCAGTCCCCACTGCTAAGGGAAAGAGCTAAGGCCACGACTCTCCCAGTCTTCTCTGATCAAAGCCAATGAGGGAGCAGGAGTTTTCTCAGTCCTCTCTGCTCAGGGGACAGATCTTAGGACATGACCTCACTCAGTACTCTCTACTCAGGAGCAATTCATAAAGGGACACCTCTCCACATACATGTCACTCAGCAAACAGGAGAACAGGAACTCTGTTGGTCCTCTCAGCTCAGGGGACAGGCCTGAGGATGGGACCCCTGTTGGGCCATCTTCTAAGGGGATAGATAAGAGAACAGGACCTCTCTCAGTCCCATCAACTCAGGGGACAGGCCTGAGGGTGGGACCCACCTCGGCCCATCTTCTAAGAGGATAGATATGAGGACAGGACCTCGCTCGGTCCCCTCAGCCCAGGGGACAGGCCTGAGGGTGGGACCCCTGTCGGTCCATCTTCTGATGGGATAAATATGAGGACAGGACCTCTCTCCATCCCCTCAGCTCAGGGGACAGGCCTGAGGGTGGGACTGCTGTCAGTCCATCTTCTAAGGGGATACATGTGAGGACAGGACCTCTCTCAGTCCTCTCTGCTCAAGGGACAGGACTGAGAATGTGACCCGAATCGTTTTATCTTCTAAGAGGATTGATGTGAGGTCCAGACCTCTCTCAGTCCTCTCTGCTCAAGGGACGGACCTGAGGATGGGACCCCTCTCTGTCCATCTTCTAAGTGGATACGTATGAGGACAGGACATCTCTCAGTCCTCTCTGCTCTAGACACAGACCTGAGTTTGGGACCTCTGTCGGTCCATCATCTGAGGGGATAGGTGTGAGGAGAGGAACCCTCTCAGCCCCCTCAGCTCAGGGGACAGGCCTGAAGATGCGACCCCCGTCGGTCCATCTTCTTAGGGGATAGATATGAGGACAGGACCTCTCTCAGTCCTCTCTGCTCAAAGGACAGGCCTGAGGACAGGACCCCTCTAAGTCCTCTTTTCTCTACGATAGATATGGGAATGGGACCTCTCTCAGTCGACTGTGCTCAGAAGACAGGCCACAGCACAGGACCTCTCTCTGCCCACTAAGCCTCAGGTACCTGAAGACAGCATCTCTCTCAGTCTTCTCTGCCCGGGGACACCTCTCCCACTGCTTTCTACTCAGGGTCAGGCCTGAGGACAGGACCGCTGTCAGTCTTCTCTGCTAAGGGGACAGACCTTAGGATGGGATCCCTCTCTGACCTCTTACACAGAGGATGGGCCTGTGGACAGGACCTCTCTTATGACTCTCTGCCCAGGGATGGGTCTGAGGACAGGACTCCTCTCAGTCTTCCTGCTCAGGGGACGCCTGAGGATGAGACCTCTCAGTTTTGTTTGCTCAGGGGACAGACTAGAAGATGGGACCTCTCTCAGTCCTCTCTGATCAGAAAGAGACCTGCGGGTTGTACTCTGTCAGACATTTCTGTTGTTCTGCACAGGGGACACCTGAGTATGGGACCTCTTTCAGTCCTCTTTGCTCATGGAACAGGCCTGAAAATGAGACCTCTGCCATTTCTCTATGATCAGGGACAGAGCTGAGGACAGCACCTTTCCCAGTTCCCACCGCTCAGGGTTTGGAGAGAGGCCTGTCTGCTCAAGAGACCCAACTCAGTCCTCTCTCGTTAAGGAACAGGTCTTATGATGGCACCCGTCTCAGTTCATTTTCTCAGAGGTATACCTGTGGACAGGACCTCTCTCACTCCTCTCTGCTCGAGGGAAAGACCTGAGAACAAGACCTCTCTCAGACCACTTTGATCAGGCACAGGCCTGGTGACGGGACCTCTCTCAGTCCTCCCTGCTGAGGGGACAGGCCTTAGGATGGGACCCCTCTCAGTCTTGTCTACTCCGGGACAGTCCTGAGGACGGGACTTCTCTGAGTCCTCTCTGCTCAGCCTCACCCCCATGATTGGGCTCTGATCCAGCTCCCTCATCCACCGCTCAAGCCCTCTGTGAGCCCAGGAGGCTGCTGCTTATTGGATGGGCTTGGTCAGCCCTTGGGCACCCAGGAAGGCACCTTGATGGACCTTTCTGTCCCCAGGCCACACATGCCGCCCTCCTCAGGGGCACTTGTTGAGGACTGTGCAGCAAAACACAATGCATGGTAGGAGCTCTGCCAGCTGGCACGCACCAAGGGCCTGGCTGGGATGAAGGGGACAGGTGGCCCCCCGGGGGGGCCCGTCCTTCAGGCCCGACAAAGTCTCCTTGCTCTGGGCTGGTGGGGAAGCAACTGGTTTCTCCCGGTACCTCCTTCCAGACTCCCTGGCTAGATCCCTTCCGGGTTTCACAACCCAACTGTCCAGCCTGTGTGCTCACATGCCCACTGACACAGTCACACACACATTCACTCACACACTCATGTTCCAGACACACTCACATGCGCACACACATTGAGTGACAAACACACATTGAATGACGCATTCATGCCTGCTCATTGACACACCCACATTTGCAGTCAGCGCACGCACGCACAATGACTCACAAACTCACACACACACTGACACACACTGACACACTCACAGTGTCACACACATTCAGCGACATGCATGCTCACCTTCAATGGCACAGCCTCATTCCCCCACACCCTCCCACTCACACACGCTCAGTGATGCAGTCACATTCTGTCACTTGGATTCACACACATTCTCAGAAACTCATGCACATGCTCACACTGACACACACACGCACACGCTCAAACACACCCGCTCACTCACACTCACACCTGCTTGGGAATCACGGCACACACAGGTCCACTCTGAACAGGGAAAACCAAGGAGCCCTGACAGGCCCTGGCAAGGTCAGCCAAGCTCTATGCCCTCTCCTCTTGCCCTGTCCCCAAAATCTGGAGGGGCCCTTGGAAAGTGAGCAGTTGACTTGGCCCTGCTGAGACACAAGGGACGGACATGCTGGGGTTGTGCCCAGCCTGAAGAAGGCAGGGAGAACAGAGCACAGTGGGGGCCCCAGGCATGCCTGCAGGGCACCCCGATGGGACACACTACAAGGGTCCCTGAGACACCGGTTAAGCACCTTCAGGCCGGGGAGGCTGCAGGCCCAGCCCCAGAGACCTGCCGCCCCCTGCCCCTCCCCGACAGCCCCGCAAAACTACCCCTCCCATGCCTGCACTGGCCTGTGTATGCCGAGTGTCTCCCAGGGCCCCTGCCGCCCTGCAGACCTGCTGACTGCAGCTCCGCTCAAGCAGACAGGTCGCCTAGATCCAGGATTCCTCAGCCCAGGTGGGCAGCCACCCATTCCCAGCATTGGCTCTGAGGCTGCTTTGGGGGAGCCTGGCTATCATCTGAGCCATGGGGATGGCCGGAGGCTCTGTGCTCCAGAACAGCCGGAGGAAGTGTGTGGACACAGACTGAGTGAGCCCCGGGAGACCCTCGCCACGTCCAAGTCAATGATCCCGTCCCCTCCCCACACATGTGCAGGGAGGGGCCTATCACTTGTCCCAGTTCTGTCGCCCACAGACTCTGGGCTAGTTAAATGGCTGATCGAGGACTACCCTCCATTTGTGGCGAGCTCCCTGGCCTGTTGGGAGAGAGAGCCAGTCCCAGGAGGGCTCAGGAGGGCGGGTTCCAGGATCCTCAGGCCCCCACCAAGAACTGCCCCTCTGGCCACAGTGCTGAAGGAGGGGTGTCTGGATTAGCAGCGCCGTCCATCCTGAGGGAGCCCTCCTCAGGCAGCATCCAGGGCTCAGAGGGCCTCGGGGATGCAGGACAGAAAGGGGTCACTCCCCAGGGCCATCTAGGCTTCCTGCTCATGGCCCACTGCCTGCTCCCAGGACACAGGAGTAGAGCGCCTCCCAGTACACTGGGAAGGGAGCAGGACAGGACCCAGGATGAAGTGCAGCTCCCCCGCCCTTCCTCTCCCCCTCCCCAAGACATGAGCACTTGGGATCCCTTTCTCGCCCACACTCTGTCCCCTTGGCCATCACACACACACTGTCCCCAAACATCCCTCAGTGGCTAGGCCAAGGCTGGCCACCTGCGGGCTGATCTGGGAGGATGGGCACACACCAGCCCCTACCCCACCCCGAGTCCTGCACACAGCTCTTCACAGGGCCTCTGACTGCCTGTCCAGGCCCTCCTGGGGCTCTTCTCTGACCTCGGTTGCTGGCCTTGGTTGCACACGTGGCCTCTCTGACCCTTCCGGAAGCCTTGAGCCACACCCCTACAGTGCTGCCAGGGATCAGGGGCCTGGGACCCACCTGCTGCCCCTTGCCCAGCCTTCAATGTCCAAGTCACTTATTCCTGAGGACACCTGGAGTGCCTTTGGTACCCAGCCAGTCACTGCTCATGACCACCAGCATCCTGTTGCCAGGCTCCATGCAGCCCAAGGCACCCCACAGGCCCTCATAGACCCTGCCCCACACACACCTCGATGTCAGCCTGGCCACTGTGGCCCCATCCCCAGCAGACCACCTCCCACCCCAGTTTCACACAGCAGAGGCAAGACACCACTGGAACACTGAACAAAATTTACTGAAGAGAAACATGAACTGAAACTGCTGAAGAAAAGGGAATCTAACACAGAGAGAAACTGCAAACAGCCACTACAGGTCACAAGTCCCCGGCCCCTCCCTCAGTGTGGCCCCCCCCACCACATCCCTCCTTCCATAGGGCCCCAGGATCCACCTCTTGCCAGGATGGTGGGCTCTGGCAATGTGTACTCGCTTCAGGGAACCCCCTCCTGAGCCCACCCGCTGGGGCAGGGCCCTGCCCTATAGACTGCACAGGACAGTCACAGGATGCTGGAAAACATAGCAGGGAACACCCCACCAAGTTGAGGAAACTGAGTCACGAGTAACAGCAGGGGTGGAACGCCAAAGCACAAAGCTTCCTGGGGAGCCTCAGGCAGCCCTGCTCCTTCCCGTGTCTGGTTGGTCCTCCTGCAGTCGAGGTCACAGTCACAAGGTGAGCGTCTGCCATGCCTCCTTCCCACCGTCTCCTGGAACTGCGCTGGGGTACTCTGGAAAGGAGCTGCTCAGATAAAAACACACACATCCCCAAGAGAACAAGCAGCCACTGGCCGAGATCTACACCGGCAAAGCAGAGGTGGAGTTCTTGACACGGAACAGCAGTGAGCAGAGCCCGGGCCTGATGATGACGCAAACCAAAAACAACTACCCACCCCCAACACATCCTCTCTTCTCTTCTTACACTTCTTCCTCCTCCTTCCCCTCTTCCTCCTCCCCCTCTTCCTCCTTCTCCTCCCCCTCTTCCTCCTGCTCCTCCTTATTCTCCTCTTCCTCCTCCCGATCATCCTCTTCTTAATTCTCCTCCTCTTTCTCTTCCTCACTGGTGCAGGGGCTTATGAATGCTGCCTTCCTGGGGCTCCCCTCATGCAGTGTAGATGATCCTAAAGACAGGCTGGACCCTGTGGCCTCCCCTGCGGGGCTTCACTTCTGCCCCACAGCTCTTCCTCAGCAGCCCTGGCTCCTTCTGGCAGAGGCAGGCCCCAGGCAGGCTCCTCCAGGTCCCACGTGGCCTGGGTGCCAGTGGGCATGCTCAGCTCAAAGTCCACAGGGTAGATATTTGGGGGTGTCCAGAGGACCAGGCCAGAGCCCCCAGCCACACCTTCTTCAGCCCCTGCTTCGCTGGGGTCCCCATCTGAAGCCCAGGCACCCCATGTGCTAAGTGTAGTGGTTCCCCGCTTGTGTCTCCTGTACCTGTTAGGGGCTATGGGCCCGGCCCCCACTGAACCAGATGCTATTTGGTCTTGGTTGGTGAAGTCCCTTCCAGCTGGTGGAAAGTAAGGGGGCTTGATCTCGACCTGGCTTCCCTGTCCCTCTGCCCCAGTCAAGTTCCCTGTTAGTGTAAGCTGCCCCTTCCCCTTGTTCAAATGTCCCTGCTGCCTGCCAGGGGAAGGAGTGCTTCGGTCTTCTGAGCCTATGTTTCCCAGGGCTTGGGATGGCTCATGGCCCCAGCCCCTGCCTCGTTTCCCAACTCCTCTCCTGCAGCCTGTGGCCCCTCCCTGCCTGGAGTCTGGTTTTCAGCCTTGGGATACGTGGCCTGGCCATGGTCTTCTCCCCTAGTGCTTTCACTGCCTAACAGCCGCCTGCGTTTCACTAATGGGGGTAAGCCTCCCTGTATGGTCTGGGGGCTGCTGTCGCTAAAAGACCTTGCCTGCACGGTGGCCTGAGGTGCAGAGACACTGGCTTCTGCTCTTGCCTGTCTACCGGAGGCCCCCCGGCCTCTCCCTGATGGCTTCTCCTTATTCTTCATCACTGCCTCAGTGTTCTCCCACTCTTCTTCATCTCGAATGAGCTTCATTAACTCCAGAAAATTGGGAGGACACCCTCGCTGATCCAAGAGCTCCAGCTTGCCCCTGAGGGCGGGGGTCATGGCGACCCGAGCTAAGAGATGTTTCAGACGAATCATGTCTGTGCTGCGCACTGACAAGGGGCTCTTGTGCACGGCTTTCTGCAGCAGGGGCTCTAAGCGCAGCAGGAAAGTGGAGACTTTCTCTCCAATCTTCGGAGAGGTCTGCAGAAACCTAAACTGAGAGGCTCTAAAGTCCTCTTTATCCCCAAAGATCTGCTTTAGGGCGTCAAGGCACTGCTCCACAGTTATGGAGTCATTGTTGGCCTGGAGCACCCGCATGATTGACAGAGCAGGCCCACGTAAGCTCTCCAGCAAACGCCGCCTCTTCTCCACCTCAGACACTTGCCATATGGGCATTATCTCAGTGACCTGCTCTAGCCAGTCTTCAAAGGTCTCTTCGCCTGGGCTAGGGGAAGCAGTTCCCGAAAACACTTTCAGTTTCCTGTACCACATACTTTCTTTCGGAGGCTCTAAAGGTGGGGATCTAACTTGGGGCATGACCTCTGCATCCAGGCTCTCGGCAGGGAGGCTGCAACATCCCAGGGCTCTGGCCACATCTGTCATACTTCGGCCCTCATCTTTCAGGAAGTAGTTCAGTCTACTGAGAAACTCATCATCTGGGTTACGGGGTTTTACCACCACTTCCCAGGAGCCACCCTTTCCTGGTATGTGACTGGGCAGAGTAGTGTAATTGACAGTGTCAGCCAGTTCAATGAAGACTGCCTTGGCATTGTCTTCCCTCCTGAACATTCTCCCTAGGACCCTGTATGCGCACAGGGGCTGTAAGCCTGCCTTCACAGTGTCCTGAATTTCCACCTCACTACACTCCATGGGGATGCCTACAATCAGCAGGGCCTTTCTGGGGTCCATGTCCATCCCCTTGCACCAATCCTCTAGCAGTGTCAGTGCCATTGCTCCCACTTTCTATGGACTGATCTAATACTAGGGCAGCAATCAGCTCAGTTTGACAGCACTCAAATAACTCTGAGCCACTGCCACGTAGGAAGGCAGAAGTGGTCCCAGGTTTCACACAGCCTGCAAAGCAAATGGGATGAGAGCATTGTTAATGCCCACCCCAACCTACGCCCCCAAGCACCCCTCCTCTGCCCCCACCCCCAAGCAGGGATGGAGTCCTTTCTTCCCAGGGTTCCCCAAGTCATTTTGGGGAGGGTAGAGTGTGGAGGTTCTCCCCAGGCAAAGATCTCCCCATCTCACCACTCCCTGCTGACTTCCTCCTGCTGTGGGTTCTTCCTCAAAGTCCAGAGGACTCTGCTGTGTGTGCTTCGGGTGCCTGTAGTGAAAAGGCCAACGTCAGGAGGCAGGGCCTGACACCTGGGGACACTGACGAGCCCTCCAGGCAGAAGAGGGCAGGAGACAGCCTCACTGCTCACTCGGGGCTATGTGGGCTCAGGTCACCCAGCACCCTCCTTGCTGGAGTGAAGGCTGGCAGCAAGAGAGGTAGAGTGGCCCTCTTTCTCAGGAATGCCTGACGGATGAGAAAGATGGCTGAGCTCTGCGCAATGCAATGAGAGTGGTGGGTGTGGAGATTGTGTGACAAGCTGCAGTGTTGCCATGGATACAGAGAATACCATGGACCATGGGTTGCTATTGCAGGGGAGTGTCATGTGGTAAGGCCAAGGTCCTTGAAAAGCAACAGGTGATGTCATTGGCCTCCAACCAATAAAGCGTACTAGCAAAAAGGAGGGTGGGAGAGGGAAGGCGAGATGGGCATGAGGAGTGAGTGCTGAAAGGACAGGAGCTCATGGTTTCAATTGTGTGGAAGCTGAAATCAGGCAGAAAAGGGACCCAGATAAGGTCCCCACTGCCAGACTGCAGGAAACCAACAACTCTTGCCCTAGAGATGGCCCTACCCTGCAGAGTCTGTGAACCCTGGCAGGCAGTCCCCTCTCCCCACTCTTTGCCAGGGTTCCAGAGCCCCTCCCAACAGGGCCCAACTCACAGCTGCTCACCTTGCTGGGTTGGCCCTGCTGGCAGCGCGGATGCTGCAATAACACAGCCACTTCAGACTCGCTCTGCTTTTCAACTCTATCCAGTTAGGCAGTTCCTGACTCAGGCGTGATGGGTCCTGCTTCACTGGATCTGTCCAAGGCAAAGCAGAGGTATTTTGCTGTGATTCTGTCCCACACACATGTCCCTGCCCAGGCCATGCCAATTCAGACTCTGCATAGGTGTTCACTAGGACCCTGGTGCAGGGATAGAAGAAACTGCTCAACTGACAGAGGGAGCGGAGCGGGGGGAGGAGTCGGGGGACGAATGGTGAGAGGGGTGGGAGGTGAGGAGGGAGGTAGGGGGTGGGGGCAGGGGGGCTGCTGGTAGGGCAGAAGGGATCCTAAGGTAAGGTTGCTGCCCTACCCCCACTGCAAACTCCATTCCCTCCCAAGCTCCGCCCCTACAGCCATGTTGCAACCCTTCCTAAGCCCCACCTCAAAACCTGCACCCCTGCTGCCAAACTCTGCCTATAACTAAGTTGCACCTCTACCCCAAGCTTAGCCCCCCACCAAGTCTAACCCCTTCCACCACCCAAGTCTAACTCGTGCCTCAAGCCCTGCCCCCACCCACAGTCCAACTCCTACCCCAAGCCCTGCCCCCTCACCAAGTCCAACTCCTACCCCGAGGCAAGTCTAACTGATATCCCCAAATCCCCTACCTCCATTCCCCTGCTCCCCCCAATCCCCACCCGGTTATCTACATACACCCACACCACCGACATCAGTGGAAGCAGGCAGAATCTAGGAGGGGAAGGTTCGAAGCCACTTTCCCTCAAGGGCAAGGGCCAAGAGCTACTATCCTGACTGCAGTGTCTCCGGGCAGGTCAAGGGTGGAATAGGTCTCCCTGAAGTTTGTTTGTTTTTCTCTGAAACGGAGTCTGGCTTTGTCACCCAGGCTGGAGTGCAGTAGCGTATCTCGGCTCACTGCAACCTCCGCCCCCTGGGTTCAAGTGATTCTCCGGCCTCAGCCTCCTGAGTAGCTGGGATTACAGGCGTACACCACCACGCCCGGCTACTTTTTGTATTTTTAGTAGAAACGGGGTTTCCCCATGTTGGCCAGGCTGGTCTCCAACTCCTGACCTCAGGTGATCCACCCGCCTCGGCCTCCCAAAGTGCTGGGATTACAGGTGTGAGCCACCGCGCCCGGCCAGGTCTCCCTGAAGTTCTGCCTGGAAATGGCAGGGATTCCTTGGCGTGCTGGGTGTGATCTAGTGGGATCCCGCCTCCAGGGAAACCTATGGCCACCAGCCCCTAGACCCCGTGGAAAATAGCAAGAGTTACTGGGGGGTTCCCCCGTAATCTGGGTTGCTGTCCGAGCCCGGGGTCCAGCTCCGTACCTGCCGGAGGTGCCTCCAAGCCGGAGTTCCCGCGCAGCGCGACCACCACACGTCTATGGCGGCTGCCGCCTCCGTGCTGACTGCGCCACGAGGCTGTGGCGGGAAGAGGTTGTCTGGTGACGACCGCCCCCCTACCCCATGAGCGGAACTGCACACGGCCCGCTCACGGTTGCGCACTGGTGACATAAACCCTCCTACTTCCTGCAAGGTGGTTCCTCACCCCACCCACCCCCGTGCCGACGACGGTGGCAGCCAGGCTCGCCACGTGCCATTTGGCCCAGCAGCCACTGTGGCTCTTCCTCATTGGAGGGGAGCTGTGGCGTCCCAAGCCCATGGGTGAAGGGCCGGGTGCAAATCACCCAGTGCAACGTATAGGCCACGTGAGCGCCCTTATAAACGAGTCATAGCCCTCGTTTATTTTTTATTGGACTGTTCTAGGGGAGGAGGGCAAAAAATACAGCTACTGCCTGCATTTCACAAGGGCATTAGTTTTTTTTCGCTGCTCACTGAGAGCCAGATGACTGAAAATATTCCATTCTCCCATTATTCTCCTGATTTCACGACCAAACATTACGCACCTAGTACCCAAACTGCTTCCTGTCGTTTCCCAAAGCAGGTTTCTTCCACAGAGGGAAGGTCCTGCGGCTTGCAGCGGCCCGAAAGTACTGTTCCAGAAAAGGGTGTGGGTGCGGCACAGGTAGCACACTTCAAGGTGCACACAAATCCCCTGGTAATCTTAAAAAAATGCGTGAAGAGATCTGAGGCAGGGATGGTTCCACTGAAAGCTAGGTTACTTGCTGCATATCCCTGCCCAGGCTGTGTGGAGCAAGGGTCTGAAGCCTATGATTACATTTCAGGGCCAGAAGTTGTGGACCTTTAGTGACAGAATATATTTGTTTTTCTTTCTCTGTGATTAAAAAAGAAAAGGCTTTTTCTGGTACTGTTTTAATAAATATGTTAAAAGCGGACAACATTTTAAATTTATGGTCACTGAGAAAGATATTTGCAGATATCACCTTCTTCAGCCAGGTGTGGTGGCTCACACCTGTAATCCCAGCACTTTGGGAGGCCAAGGTGGGCAGATCACTTGAGATCAGCCTGGCCAACATGGCGAAACCCCGTCTCTACTAAAAATCCCAAAATCAGCTGGGTGTGTAATCTGAGTAGCTGAGTAGCTGTAATCCCAGCTACTCAGGAGGCTGAGGCACGAGAATCGCTTGTACCTGGGAAGCAGAGGTGGCAGTGAACCCAGATCACACCACTGCACTCCAGCTTGGGCAACAAAGTGAGAGCCTGTCTTTTTTTTTTTTTTTTTTTGAGAAGGAGTCTCACTCTGTCACCCAGGCTGGAGTGCAGTGGCGCGATCTCGGCTCACTGCAAGCTCCACCTCCTGGGTTCACACCATTCTCCTGCCTCAGCCTCCCGAGTAGCTGGGACTACAGGCGCCCGCCACCACGCCCGGCTAATTTTTTGTATTTTTTAGTAGAGACAGGGTTTCACTGTGTTAGCCAGGATGGTCTCGATCTCCTGACCTCGTGATCCACCCACCTCGACCTCCCAAAGTGCTGGGATTAGAGGTGTGAGCCACCGTGCCTGGCCGAGATCCTGTCTGGAAAAAAAAAAAGACAATTCAGAGCCCATTAAATCAATCTCCTTCATGTGACAAGGAGAAAATAGTGCTGAAAGCCATTGCTTAGCTGCCTGGTATCACAACATCACAGAAGGTGATGTTTTGGAAAGAGGTTCTGCCTCAGTCACCTCTGGGCTACTGGGTGCTCCCCTGGCCAGACGTATACTTCAATTCATTCTATTTCTCACTAGAAGACTAGCTTCCTCTCTCTCTCTCTTTTTTCTGTCTCAGTCTGTTTTGTGCTTCTATAATCAAATACCTGAGACTGGGTAACATATAATGAACAGGAATTTATTTAGCTCATGTTTCTGAAGGCTGAGAACTCTAAGATCAAGGGGCTGCACCTGCTGAGGGCCTGGCATGCAGGCATCAAGACGTGAAAGCATGTGTAAGAGTGAGCAAAAGAAAGAGAAGAAAGGGGCCTAAACTCATTTTTTAAAAAAAAAATCAGGAACTCACTCCCACAATAACAAATCCACTCCCGAGATAACAGCATTTGTCCATTCACACTGGCAGAGTCCTCCTCACCTAATCACCTCTTAAAGGTCCCACTTCTCAACAGTTGTATTGGGGATTAAGTTTCCAACACATGAACTCTGGGGGACACATTCAAACCATAGCACTTTTCTTTAAAAAAAGTTATTGGGGATAGTGACAATGTTGAATTTTTCCTGAGCCCTGTGATCCTGGAAAACAGTGAAGGTTAAGAAACCCTCAGCCCTTTGTGTTCCAGAAAACAGCTTCCTGCAAAGAACCCTCCTTTCCATATGACTTAGATAAGACTTAGGGGATGTCACCCGTGTTTATGTATGACAATGCCAGACACGAGACCCTCCAAATTGCCATTCTTTACTTAATAAATGATAAACTGAACTGCTCGTTCTCTTGTGGCTGGGCGCGGTGGTTCACACCTGTAATCCCAGCACTTTGGGAGGCCGAGGCGGGTGGATCACGAGGTCAAGAGATCGAGACCATCCTGGCCAACATGGTGAAACCCTGTCTCTACTAAAAATACAAAAATTACCTGGGCGTGGTGGCACGTGCCTATAGTCCCAGCTACTTGGGAGGCTGAGGCAGGAGAATCGCTTGAACCTGGGAGTGGAGGTTGCACTGAGCTGAGATGGCGCCACTGCACTCCAGCCTGGAGACAGAGCGAGATTAAAAAAAAAAATGCTTGTTAGCCAAAGTTTAGGTAGCTTCTCTTCTTTCTCCAGACTCCTGAAATTTGGCCCACCTTTAGTCTGAGCCAGCAGATAACCTTAACAGGCCCTTCTCATAGGCTGGTCCCAGGTAGAACATTCTCTGATCTAATATCTGGTCATTCCACATCCTCACACCAAGTTCTTTCTAGGCTTGTTTGCTCCTCCCCCCGACCTCTTTTTTTTTTTTTTTTTAAAGCTCCTTTTTGCCTGACCCTTGAGTTGCTTGTGGAACTGACAGTTGGACACCCGATTGAAACATCCCCTCCCCCAGTTGCAAGAAGCCTTTCAAATAAATTATCTCTCATTAAGTCCTGTGATTCTTTTCCTCCCAAACTTTATTAAGGTATGATTGACAAATAAAAATGTATATACTTAGGGCATACAATGTGATGTTTGAATATATGTATGCATTGTGAAATGATTACCACAATGAGCTAACATATCCACCATTTCACATAGTTACTTTTTTTGTATGTGTGACGAGACACATACCTTCTTACCGAACTTACACCTGCTTTCTTACCAAACTTCAAGTACAATACAGTATTATTAACTAGAGTCACCATGCTATACATTAGGTTTCCAATACTTATTCATCTTATAGCTGAAGGTATGTACCCTTTGACTAATATCTCCCCTTTTCTTCATACCCTAGCCCTTGATAACTGCCATTATACTCTCTGCTCTGTTACTGTGAGTTTCACTTTCTTTTTCATTTTCTTTTTTTTTGATGGAATCTCCCACTGTTGCCCGGGCTGGAGTGCAATGGTGCGATCTCGGCTTAATGCAACCTCTGACTCCTGGGTTCACGCGATTCTCCTGCCTCAGCCTCCTGAGTAGCCGGAATTACAGGCGCACATACACTACCACACCCGGCTAATATTTTGTATTTTTAGTAGAGACGGGGTTTCACTATGTTGGCCAGACTGGTCTCAAGCTCCTGACCTCGTGATCCGCACGCCTGGGCCTCCCAAAGTGCTGGGATTACAGGTGTGAGCCACCACGCCTGGCCTGACGTTCACTTTTTAAAGATTTCACATATGGCTGGCTGCAGTGGTTCACATCTGTAACCCCAGCACTTTTGGAGGCTGATACAAGAGGATGCCTTGAGCCTGGGAGTTCGAGACCAGCCTGGGCAACATAAGGAGACCCCTGTCTCTACAAAAAAAATTTAAAAAGTGTCTGGGTGTGATGGCACATGCCTGTGGTCCCAGCTACTCCTGAGGCTGAGGTAGGAGGATTGCTTCAGCTCGGGAGGTTGAGGCTATACTGAGCTGTGACTGCACTCCAGCCTGGCCAACAGAATGAGACCCTGTCTCAAAAAACAAACAAAAAAAGATTTCACATACAAGAGCATGCAATGTTTGGCTTCCTGTGTCTGGTTTATTTCACTTAGCATAATATCCTCAAGGTTCATTCATGTTATTGCCAAGGGCAGCATTTCCTTCTTTTTTTAAGGCTGCTTGTGAATATATATATATATATATATAAATAAAACATATATAAAACATATATATGTTATATATATAACATATATATGTTATATATATAATATGAATATATAATATATGATATGAATATATAGTATATTCATATTATATATAATATATATAATAAAGAAAATTATATATAATATATATAATATATAATACATATACTATATAATATATATAAAATATATATATAATATATATAAATAATATATATATAAATATATGTTATATATATTATATATAAAATATATATAAATATATATTATATATATTATATATAATATATATATAATATATAATATATATAATATATAAAATATATATTATATAATATATATTATATTATATATTAAATATTATATAAAAATATATATAAGACATTTATATATAATATATTATATATATTATATATAATATATATAATATAGATATATAAAAAACATTTTCTTTATCCATTCATCTGTCAGTGGTCACTTAGGTTGTTTTCTTATCTTAGCTATTGTGAATAATGCTGAAATGGACAAGAGAGTCCAGATACCACTTAGAGATAGTGATTTTATTTGCTTAGGATATCTATCCATAGTGGAATTGCTGGATCATACAGTAGCATACATGGACAATTAATTTTCAACAAAGCTGCCAAGAATACACAATGAGGAAAGTGAGATGGAGCAGGGACCCCGTCTCAGGGGTCTGCAGGCCCCCTTAAGCATATAAATAAAGGAAAATGTTGAGTTCTTTCAGGGGCAATGCCAGGCACCTAGCTAGCCCTGAGAAGTAAATAAGCAAGTTGATAAGCAAGAAGGTAATAGCTTAAAACAACAGCCAAGGAAGCTACAATCACAGGATGTTTTCTTTCCCTATAGAAACTAAAGATAACATGTTAACATATATCTCTGAGTTGTTTTTCAGAAACTTGGATCCCCACCAAACTGATCAGCTGGCATGCAGACCCCAGAAAAGGGGGAGCTGAGGACTGAACTCTGACCACCACTCTTTGTTCCAAACTTCTTCATGAGGGGCCTGGAGGAAATCACATCCATCTGTCAGAGCTAATATTCTTTTCTGCTGACCCAAAAATTTTAAACAAAGCTTCTCTTGCTTAACCAACTGCAAACCAAAAGACCTTTGAACCTACTTATGGCCTGTAAGCCCTCACTTCAAGATATCCCACCCTTTTAGGCCAAAACCAATGGGTAACCTCTGTGTAATGATTTATGAATTAGCCTGTAACTTCTGCTTTCCTGAAATTTACTCCTACCTTTAAAAGCCCTTACCTGCAAGCCATCACGGAGCTCTGGATTTGAGCGTTAGCTGCCTGATCCTCCTTGCTTAGTGCCCTGCAAATAAATGTCTTCCTTTCCACCACTGCAAACCTCAGTGTGGATATCTGATCTTACTGTGATGGGCAAGACAACTCCAGTTCAGTTCAATAACACTTGGCCACAACTCAAAAGCCCTGAGTGGGTGTCTTGCCAATAGCATATCAGCCCCTGGCTATGAGCACCCTTGGACCCTGTCCAGTAGCTGCCTGAATTATTTTATTCAGGGATGGATCTGTGTATTTGGCTGCCACCAAGGCATCACTGGCTTGTGTTGCTTTTACTTTTGCAGCATTAGAAATGAGACACTTGGCTGGGAAGACATTTTTTGGCAGGTGACAAATTTGTGGGCAATAGCCCCAAGGTATATTTTCTTCAAACACTACGTTCTGCATTGGCAGGACATCTGGCCTTGCTTTGGCAATTTACGGGACTCTGCTTCATCATAGTGTGTTTAGTAGGGAATACTCCATAAGCAACTGAAGGGATGGAGACTTTGAGAAATCACATTTTGATTTTGATTTGCTTGCTTGACAATCTGCCTAAAGCCCAGCTGAGGCATTAAGGGTTTTTCACCTAAGGTCTTGTCATCTAAAATGGAAACTACAAATTATGTTCCTCCTTGTAGCCCATTATGGTGCATTCTGCAGAATCGGGCCATTTTTAGCTTTGAGCCCATGAAAAAGAAAAATGTTTTTAATGTTGAAATTCTGCCTGACCACGGTATCCCCTAGGATCCAGGGAATGGTAGCCAGAATTTAGATATCTAAATTACATTATAATTTTTCAATTAGAATTGTTTTGTGAACAAGAAGGTAAATGGGATGAAATTCTGAATGTACAAGCTTTTATGCTTTTGTACCAAAGTGAGCTAATTCAAAGAAGGTATAATTTGCATAGAATCATGGTTGAAAGAAATGCCTCTAAGGTGAAAGAGGTAAAGGTTTTACCCGGTTCTCAAAAATCAGAAGATGACTTACTACTTCAACAAATGAATGCACCAATCCTATCTCTCCACCTTATGGGGGGCGAGATATGGAAGCCAGAGCAATGGCCCCGCCCCCCTGCTCAGGCAGGAATGGGAGCCCCTATTACCCTGGCTGGACTGGGGAATAATAGTGACGTAAACAGGCCAGGAGTGCTCTCTCCTTCACACACCTGACAGGGCACTCAATATCGTCAGGGAGCCACTCTGGTTGAGGTAGGGCAATTCCATTAGGCAAGTACCCATTGGCAGAATCAATGCCCAGGGTCAGCCAGCGGGACCTGTGTGGGTACACGTGCCATTCTCAGTCTCTGACCTATACCATTGGAAGGATAACATGCTTACCTACTGGGGTGACCCAAGGAGGATGGAAAATGTGTTCTCCATTTACACTACTCATAATCCTAACTGGGAGAATGTGCAATATTTACAAAATGCACTACTTACCTCCAAAGAGTGGAGAATAGTTTTAGAAAAAGCTAGAGAAGAAGCTGACCAGTAACATACTGAGACTGCCAGCAATCTGGTCTGGGCAGCTACTGCTGAGGCTATAGCCTAACACAAGCAGTCTTAGCTCCTCCCAGCCTCCCATTGGCCCAAGTGTCTGGGCTTTAAGATGTTCTCAATAATATTGGTGGTGTGTTTTCCTGCTCCGTGGTCAAAAAGGGCATCTTGGAGCTCACATGCTTGTTCTGGTGGCACCTCAATGTCCAATTTTCCCAGAGCAAAGGTTACTGTGGCAATTAACTTAGTTAACACGTCCTGTCCCAACGAAGGGACTGGGCATTCTGGCATGTGCAAGATCCTGATAGGATCCAAATCATGAGAGTCAAGCTCATTGCAAGCATTAAAGAGATTGAATTTTAGCAGTCCTGAGGAAAGGGGTCTCAAAGTAGTGTAGCTTTAATAAATTTCAGGAAATGTGACAGAGGCCAAATGAAAACTCATCTGAAAGTTTTTGGAGATAATTTTTGAAGCCTCCTGGCAATGTCAACTGAGATAGATCCTGAGGCCCCTGAGAACCTCAGATTAATTAACATAACTTTTATTAGTCAAAGCACTCCTGGCATTCAGAAAAAGCTATAAAAATTAGAAAGTGTTTTTGGAATGTCTATCTCTTAACTGTATAGATTGCTTTTAAGGTGTTCAAAAACTGAGATCAAGCATTGGATCATAAAGAGCAACAGAGGATGGAAAAACAGGCATCTTTGTTGGTTGCTGCTCTGTTCACAGCACTTGAAGTAAAGAAGCCCAATGAGAAGGTAGACACCCCTGGAAACAAGAAAGGCCTCCAGAAAGGCGATCCATAGATGGGGCCCAAGCATTGTGCATATTGTAAACAAGAGGACCATTGGAAAAGGACTTCCTGAGTTTAAAAAGGCAATCCCAGGGGAAAGAAGAAAAGGCTTTACTTTTGTCAGAGGTATCCAAGAGAGTGATGGGGTCTCAGGGGGTACAATAGGTGGATGAGGCTGCATCCCCATCTCCTGCCTGGAACCCTGGGTAACTCTTTGGTGGGAAAAAGACAAGTTGATTTCTTGATTGATATTGGAGCCACGTACTCCTTCCTTGACATGGTTTGGCTCTGTGTCCCCACCTAAATCTCATCTTGTAGCTCCCATATTTCCCATGTGTTGTGGGAAGGACCTGGTGGGAAATAATTGAATCATGGGGTTTTCCCTGCACAAGCTCTCTCTCTCTTTGCCTGCTGCCATCTCTTTGCCTGCTGCCATCCATGTAAGACGTGACTTGCTCCTCTTTGCCTTCTGCCATGATTGTGAGGCTTCCCCAGCCATGTGCAATAGTAAATCCATTAAACCTCTTTCTTTTGTAAATTGCCCAGTCTTGGGTATGTCTTCATCAGCAGCATGAAAACAGACTAATACAGTCCTAAATATCAAAATAACAAAATTGTCACCCAATACTATGACTATCATGGGGTGTCTGGAACACTTATGAAAAAGTCCTTTTTACAACCTATGGACTACCAAGTGGGCACAGTCAAACTAAAGCATAGTTTCTTGTACATGCCAGAATGCCCAATCCCTTCACTGGGACAGGACTTGTTAACTAAGTTAATTGCCACAGTAACCTTTGCTTTGGGAAAATTGAGGTGCCACCAGAACAAGCTTGTGCACTCCCAAATGCCCTTTATGACCACAGAGCAGAAAAACACACCATCAATATTATGGAGAACATCTTAAAGCAGATAAGCCCAGATGCTTGGGCTGATGGGAGGCTGGGAAGGGCTAAGACTGCTTGTGTTAAGGCCATTCTTGCATTGCTATAAAGAAATACCTGAGACTAGGTATTTATAAAGAAATGAGCTTTAATGGGCTCAGTGTTCTGCAGGTTGTACAGGAAGCATAGTGCTGGCATTTGCTCAGCTTCTGGGGAGGCCTCAGGGAGCTTTTACTCATGATGGAAGGCAAAGCAGGAGCAGGCACATCATATGGCAAAAGCAGGAGCAAGAGAGAGATGGAGGAGAGAGGGTGCCACACAATTTTAAACAACCAGATCTTGTGAGAACTCACTATCATGAGGACAGCACCAAGCCATGAGAGATCCACCCCCATGATCCAAACCTTTCCCATCAGGCCCAACCTTCAACATTGGGGATTGTATCTCAACATGAGATTTGGAGGGCATGTCCAAACTATGTCATTCTCCCCTGCCCCCACAAATCTCATGTCCTTCTCATACTGTGAAATACAATAATCTCATCCCAATAGTCCTCCAAAGTCTTAACACATTCCAGCATTAATGAAACTGCCTTTGCAAAATTATAACTGAAGAAATTATGACAGTGAAAGAAATCAGACCTAACCAACCCCATATTGCTTCTAACCTTTGTCCTTGTTCATTACTGGGCATAGGCCAAACTAACTTTGGGAAGGAATTCAATTTATGGTTTGACTCTGAAACAAAATTGATAACAGACATTTTCCAAAAAGACCCCATTCTTGCCTGGGGACAAGTATGCCTTTGCAGGACTAACAAATTAGATAGAAGATTAGAAATTACATTTTAGGGGACAGGTAGCCTCTGGCTACTAGAGTCTGAACCTCCCCAAATTGCTCCTGAGGATAACATCAATGCTGTAAAACCTAAGATCAGTGCTTGAGGTATTTTGCAGCCCCTGCGCTTGATGGATCAGCTGACACCACCTAGACCAGTAATCTGGCTCAATCAGTTCTTCCATCCCATCCAGGAATAGAAAACAGCAAGAAAAACTCACTTCAACTCTCCATGATTCCATGTCCATCCTGACCAATCAGCACTTCCCACTTCTCAAGCCCCTACCCACCAAATTATCTTTAAAAACTCTGATCCCCGAATAGTCGGGGAGACTTATTTGAGTAATAATAAAACTTTAGTCTCCTGCATAGCTGGCTCTGTGTGAATTACTTTCTCCATTGCAATTCCCCTGTCTTGATAAATAAGCTGTGTCTAGGCAGCAGGCAAGGTGAACCCCTTGGGCGGTTGCACAACTCAAAAGTCCCAAGTCCCCAGTCCAAAGTCTTATCTGGAAATAAGTTCTTTCCACCTAGAAGCCTGTAAAATCAAAATGGGTTATTTACTTCCAAGATACAATGGAGATACAAGCACTGGGTAAACATTCTCATTCCAAAAGAAAGGTGCTACAGGCGCCACCCAAGTCTGAAACTCAGCAGGGCAGTCATTGAATCTTAAAACTTCAAAACAGTCTCCTTTGACTCCATGTCTCACATCCAGGGCATGCTTCTGCAGGGGATGGGCTCCCAGGGCCTTGGGCAGCTCTGACCCTGTGGCTTTGCAGGGCTCAGCTTCTGAGCCTGCTCTCACAAGCTGGCATTGAGTACCTGTAACTTTTCCTGGTGCA